>NC_000012.12:108520734-108672249 GCF_000001405.40 Homo sapiens | reverse complement strand
CATTGAAGTACTCTCCATCAATCATTGTGTCAATCTTGCACCAGGCATTTGGATCATCCGAAGCTTGTTCTTGGGTGGATTCCTTAAGAAGGAGTGGGAACAATATTCTCTGAGTTCTTGTATACTGATAATAAGTTATCTGTGATCTTTTTACTTGAAAGTGAGTTTCTCTGAATATAAAATGATTGGGCAGGGACAGTGCCTCACACCTGTAATTCCAGCAATTTGGGAGGCCGAGGCAGGTGGACGGGTTGAGCCCAGGAGTTCAAGACCAGCCTGGGCAACATGGTGAAACCCCGTGTCTACAAAAAAATAAAAAATTAGCTGGGTGTGGTGGTGAGTGCCTGTGGTCCCAGCTGCTTGGGAGCCTGAGGTGGGAGGACCTCTTGGACCTGGAAGATCAAGGCTGCATTGAGCCGTGATCGTGCCACTGTACTACAGCCTGGTTAACAGAGTGAGACCAATCCTGTCTCTAAATAAATAAATAAATAAAATTATTGACTCACAGTTTTTCCTTGAGTAACTAAATACCTTATTCCATTTTCTTTTGGCATAGGTGTTGCTGTCAAAGTCAGATTATAATCTAATTTCCTTTCCTTTATAAATCATATGCTCTTTTTGCCTAAATGTTCATAAGATTTTTTTTCTTCAAATATAGTTAATTTTACTAGAAGATTGTTGGTCATTCTGAGTTGGTATCTCTAGATACCATGATATGCTCTTTCAATATATAGTTTCCAGTCTTTTTTTTTTTTCTTGCATTACAGTTTTTAATTTTTTTTTTCCTGTTCCTTTGCTTTGGTTTTCTTTATCAGAAGCTCCTGTTATCCATATGCTTTGTCTTCTTTACTTCTCTTTAGTCATTGTCAGTTTCTCTCCAAACCTCTTTTCTTTTCCTCCCCCCACTCCTTTTCTTTCTTTTTTTGAGACAAGGTCTTGCTCTGTCACCCAGGCTGGAGTACAGTGGCACGATCATGCCTTGACCTCCTGGGCCCAAGCAATCCTCCCACCTCAACCTTCCGAGTAGCTGCAACCACAGGCACTCACCACCATGCCCAGCTAATTTTCTATTTTTTTTGTAGAGACGAGGTTTCTCACAATGTTGTCCAGGCTGGCCTCTAACTTGTGGCCTCAAGCATTCCTCCCACCTTGGCCTTCCAAAGTGTTGGGATTACACGTGTGAGCCACCATGCCAGGCCCTAAACCTTTTTTTTTTATTCTTTTTTTTTAGACTTTATTATTATTATTATTATTTTGCTCTTTTCCTTTTATTTCTTTTGGGGGCATTATTTGTTGTGTTTATTTGCTCTTGTGTTCTTTCTTGGTTTGTCTTCATTTATTTCTAATTTTTTTCTTGATGTCTGTCACTTTGTTTTGAGTTTTTCAAGTTCTGGTTTATAATGTTTTATATATTGTTTTCTTATTTTGAATCACTATAATGTAGTTTTTATCTCTTTTGAGCATGTCTTTTTAGCAGTCTTATATTGTCTAAAGGGATCTTATTCTGTGTCTTATTTTCTTTTTTTCTGACAGTAATTTTGGAGTTCAACCTTGATTTTTTTTTCTTGCTTATTTTTATGTGGATTTAATTTTCCCAAGCTTTTTAAATGGTGGCTTGGTTCAGATAGCTGCTCTAATTTCACAGAACTCCCTCTCTGACATATTCAGATAGTGTTCAGAAACATGGTGCCTTGCTTTCTAATATTTCCTAGCCTGGCTTTTATGTAGCCTCTCTTATGCTTTTATCCCTCTTACTGCTATCCTGCTGAAATTCGATTTCATTTCCTGGAGTGTCTCCTTTGTGGGCCCATCCTGGAAGGGAGCCCGCTGTGGGTGATTTTGAGAGTGCTGGGGTCTAGATTGTGCCTGCCTCTTCAGACCTTTTAAATTCAGTACCCATGTGCCCAGCTTCTGTTGGAAAAGGCAAAATCCTTCCCAGTTTCTGCTGCTGATCTCACACCGGCCTGCTGCCCTCAGGTCTGTCAGGTGTCCCCTTGCTGTCCCTTCCCACACACACCCGAGGCTGATCACATGCAGGTCGTGTGGCTGTTGGTGTTTGCTCCCACCTGCTTAAATTTTGGGGATATCACCTAGTTTGTGTAAATGTTGTCCCTGGATTTTTGTTTTGTTTTGTTTTCTGCTAGCTCTGTCTTTTTACGGAGGGACTTCGGAAAAACCCCCAAAAAATGCTGCCACTGAGATTCTCTCATCTTCCCAGAATCCTCAATGTCGCCCTTTTATTGGCATTGCTGGAGTGCACATTTTGTAAATTAAATAATGCTTTGGGATAAATCTTTCTAATTTTAAAAAATCTTTAAGTATAGAACTGATATTTAAATCACCCTTTAATCACTTAATATCCCCTATATCATGTTATTATTGGAGTAATTGAAGCTTGTATAGCTTAGCAGTTGAAATGAAAGTTTAAAGAAATGTTTGATCTTCTCCTAGCCTACCTGCTTCTTAATACCTTATTTTCCACCTTGCTCTTCTGAAGGTAAAAGAACACTGTATTATAGATCAAATGGTTTCAGACAACACCCCCCGCCACCCCCCGCCTTTTTTTTTTTTTTTTTAACGGAAAAGCTCTGTGTAGTTTCTCAAGCCTAGGCTATTGGTAGTAGCTCATGAGCTACAAATAGTAGATAGTATAACAAGGCCTAGTTTTAGTAGAAGAAGGATATCAAGGAGATCCTGGGAGTAGGAGTTCTGAGCATTTGCAGGTCGCTTCGCTTAAACGCTCTCAGCCCCAGTTGCCTTCCATATAATATGGAGGTATGATAATAATATGCCTATCGAGAGTCAAAAGGAAGCTGTAAACGTATAATGGACTGTTATTTTTTGTAATGGGGATTTTGATGGATACCTATAGTGGATTCCTAGCAGCAAGAGTACCTTTAATAGACATTTCATAGAAAAATACAGTAGAACCAGTTTATCAAATGAACTGTAAAAGAATAAAAGTAATTTTTTAAAAACTGCTTTTTGTATTACTTATGGTATAAATCCATGAAGTCCTAAGCATTTAAGCATTGATTTGTTAATTTTGTGGGCATTGATTTAGTGACAGCTACTTTGCAGTTTTAGGAGAGGGAACACCAATCTTAAGATACATTCCCCCATTTTTTAGACGTGGCTTCTTTACACAGCCTAAAATTAAATTATATTGACACAGTTTACCTTTCATGTACTACTTTGTGAAACAGCATTTTATACTATCACACAGCAGTTGTGTAAATTGTACTCCCAGAAACTACACTTCACTCCTAGCTTTGCAGAGTTTTGGCTCTGTGAGTTCTTTTCTTCAGCAGTATCTTCTCAAAGAGAGTTTTAAGATTGTGGCTACCTAAGTATTTTACTTGGGGGAAATATTAGCTCCAAGAAAATAATAGTGCTTTAAATAATACAAAGAGCAGTCAACTTAAGTTTAGTGAATGATGTTGATTCAACATTGTTCCTTATCTGCAGGGTAGTAATCAAACACAAATGCAAAAAATGGCTAATTTGGACAATGGGATTGCATAATTGTTCCTTCCAGAGTCTGGGAGTTGGAAAGATATTGCAAAATGATAGTCTTAATTGTCTCCAGCTATAGAATAGTCCAAATTTTTAAGTTTAAAGGACGCTTCTCCCTTCTCTCAAATCAGTTTATTCTTCTGTAGAAATCAACAAAAATACCCTATCTAATCCATTTTTGCTTCCATTATAAATTTTCCTAATATAGTTTTTTTTGGCGGGTGGGAAGGCATTTGACAAAGACTGGAAAACCTGCTAGACAATTTTTAAAAGAGCTTTAATGCTTTCTAATATAGTTTTTGCCCTGAAATAAAAATGGAAGTGATGTTTTGGTTCCTCTCAGGCATTCAGCAGGGAGGGCTTCGTCTTAATTCCATTTTGTACAGATTGCATCTGGGCCATTTGCCAGAGGATATTATAACCCTGGCAGATCGGAACCCAACACTCGGTTCTTGGTTTTCCCGAACTCGGTGCCACTCTGCACGTCATGGTTCATTTGGGAATGCCCTGATGCCCTACATGCAGGCCTTTGTGGGCGTCTGTAGGACGCTGTACTGGTCTGCAGCTGCTACCACATCTTTAAGCTTTCTCCTGTCTCATGTATTTTCTTCATTTCCCATTTGGAATTGGTTTCCTTAGGAATGGAAAAATAGGGTCTTTTGGGGGTGTAACCCTTTTTATGGCTGTAACTCTAGTCCTAGCCCAGTAGCAAGTTGATGATGGGTGACTAAAATAGGGAAGCAGTGTCTGGAAAGCAGTATTTGAAAAATAAAACTATTTAACTAATTGTACTTTAAAATTAGCACGTGAGAGAAACCCAAGTGTCTTAGTTTTCCTTTTTTCTTGTTGGGATTGTTCTCTTGAGTTGTCCTTTTTCCATATCCAGGCTTTCACATGTGAAAAGGATGCCCATGGTACAGTAGTTCTGAACATGTGCTTAAAGTTGTTTTTTTCCAGAACCACAATGGGATTTTACTGATGGATTCACTTTTTCATGTAGGAGCCCTTGGAACTGAATGTCATTTTTTTGGTTATATAGATGAGAGGTTTCTATGTTGCACAGGCTGGCCTTGAACGCCGAGCCTCACTTCCTTATGCACCAGGACAACAGGCCTGAGCCACCACAGCTCCTCTGATTTCATTTTTGTCCTTTCAAAACAAAACATTGCCATAGTAATGTGTTGTCCAAACAGAAAATGTTAGGAACACACAGCATTATTTAAATTAAGAAAATAAAATAAAAAAGAGGAAGTAGGGATAACTTGTACTCTCTGCTGCACTGAGATGCCTACTCTGGGTGTTTTGTGTCTGTTTTCCTCTGCACTCACTGCATACAGTTTTGAGAAAGCTGGTTGGTATTACAGTACCAGTCTGTAGCCATAGAACAAAGAAAAGCTAACAAGCCTGCACAGAGATCAGATCTGTCCTTACTGTGGTAATTGGCCTAGGTATAAACCAGAGCTTTCACACATAATGATATCTTGGGTGTAAATTAGTTAGTATTAATTAATTGGGTACAGTGCTGAATTAATTTGAAGACAAGACTCATTCTAAGAAATTCTGATGTTCAGACCTAGAAATATATATGGCGTCATAGTGGTCATATTAACAGCAAAAAAAGTCATCATGAAAATATGGTAGGCTCTTTTTTTTTTTTGCCACGCGCTATTCTAAGCCTTTATGTGCATGATAATATTTAGTTATTGTATCCGCACAGTAAGCCATGAGTGTGGCCTATTTTACAACTTAGGAAACAGGCTCAGAGAGTGGCAGTTTTGTTAAGGGTCACACAGCTGATAAAAGGCTCAGCCAGACCCAGATCTGTCTAGCTCCAAAGAAAGCCCCATGCTCTTCTCCCTAGTTGCAGTATTTCCTATTAGGGTGGTGCTTTGGGGCATGCAAAATGTTTGAGCTCATTTAACCCTTCTAATAACCCCTGAGTAAGCACAGCTGTCCCCAGTATTAAGGAAATTCAGGCTCCCAGAAGTGAAATCCCTTCTTAATGCTAACATGACCAATTAGTGTCCCAGCTCTGACAGGAGCCTGTGTCTTCTGACACCCAGGCCAGCATCCCATATTACACACAAGAGGACCAAACATGTACCAAGTGGTGCTTCTGTTTGTTGTTGTCCCTGAGCTGCAGGAACATCAGTCCAAACCGAGCAGGCCATCACCCAGAGTAGCAGACAACCCTGAAGAGGGCAGAGAGCCACATAATGACAGGCCTGTGAGCATGGCCTTTGGGTGCCAGCCAGAGCATGTGTATGCTGAGTGTGGAAAGACCTACAGACCGCCCCCAACCCCCAAGCTCTTTCCACAGTCCACCGTAGAGAACACCACCCCCTCTTTACCAGTGGACACAAGAATTCTGTTGTCTTCTTATTTCATTTCAGAGACTTTTTCACTCACTTTCTTCTCGCATTGCAGTCCTTGTGCTTATAGTATTAGCTTTTTCACTCTGGTGCTTTTTCCCTAGCAGCTCCTGAGCCAGCTTCTTTATGGCATTGTTTAAATGCTGCATGCACTTTTTAGAAAATTGCTCTACACATCTGCGTGTTTTATTTTGAGACTGGATATTCAATTTCTCCTCATATTCTGCTCTACTTTCACCTAAGTCTTGTTCATCCTTAGAGGTCACCTCCTCAGGGAGCCCTCCTGGGTGGACCAAGCTTGGTTAGCAGGAAGCTAATTTCGTAGTAGTGCGGTCGGCTTATGCCAGCATAGCATTGGTTGCACTGTGCAATAATACCAACTAACACTCAGTGTCTGCCTTATGCCAGGCATTCTTCTAAATGTGTCAGTTTCATGTTACCATGTTAGTCTTCAAACCGCCTCACAGAAGGCAGGTTCAATATTAAGTCCTGGAAAGGTTAGGTGAATGTCCTCAAGGTCACACCACTATGTGACTGAATCAGGAATTCAGTCACATCAGTCTGGCCAGAGCCCATAATCTCAGCCCTGCTGTGTACTGTCTCTGCATTCTGGAGGCACTATGTGTGTGTCTGGCTCTGTGCTGAGGGTTAATTAATTCCTTAATTCTCTTAGCACACCTCGCAGGCATAGGTACTAATGTTTTCTCTATGCAGTGATGTTTGCCAGGATCATCACAGGTAGTGGCCCAGGCAGGATTTGAACCAGACTCTGCCTGACTCTGGTGCTCACTCTCTAACTGTCTGTATCACACCACTTGGATTTGTTGTCTTTGATTTTCAGTCTGATAGAAGTCTCTGCTTTCTGTTAGACCATCAACTTCTCAAGAGCAGGGCCTGTATTTAGTTACCCAGTACTAGATGGGTTACAATACAATTTATTGTAACTCAATAAATGTGTTACAAGAAAGAGTTAACCAAGGTAGTAAAATGGCTTAGGTGCTTGTCTTATGTGAATAAACCCAGCTGAGGGAACCGTTAAACCAGCTGGAGGTGAGGTAAAGAAGGAACACACAGAGTTTCCTTATTTTAAAAATTAATAAATGTTGCTTCATCATTAAAATTTTCTTTTAATCCAGGAAAAGATGATGGGGAGAAGCTAGAGAAAGGAAAAGGTTAAGTCCCCATTATGAGCTCTGCTTCTGCCCTCATATTTTAAGGTTGGAAATGCTGATTATAAACAAAGTCTCCCATCACTCCACGTCTCATTAGTGATTTGGAAAATGCACTAGCTGTGCTCAGAGTGAGACACAGAGGCGTTTTCAGTCCTTGCAAGGAAACCCAGCAGGCCATGGTTGGGGT
This sequence comes from Homo sapiens, assembly GCF_000001405.40. Lineage (NCBI taxonomy): Eukaryota > Metazoa > Chordata > Mammalia > Primates > Hominidae > Homo > Homo sapiens. The sequence goes on along the minus strand of NC_000012.12, from coordinate 108,665,002 downwards.
GCCATCTGGAGATTGAAGGTGGTATTACCACTCTGTCAGTTCTAAGTGGGGTCACAGTGCATCTTGCAAAATGCTTTTCCTGTTGAGTCACTGAAGTCCCATTTCATAATTGTTTTTCTGTCGACTTCATGCTTTGATCAAATTAGTAGTCACTGTTTTCTGTTTGTTCTGTTCAAAATGTCAGTCCTGCTTTATATTCAGATAGTCAAGTTCAATGTGGAGTTGTTTCACTAATCATAAATTCTTGAATAAAAATAGTGCATGTCAGGATGAAAGCTAACATGCAGTAATGGAGGAGAGCAGATGCCCATGTTCTCCGCAGGGGAAAGAGGCCTGGGTCAAGGTCTCTTCCGCAGAGGGAGGGAGAGGGCAGGGTAGGTCTTCCTTTTCCTTCTATGCTTGTTCACACCTGCCTTGCTTAAAATTTGGCTCTGGGGAAATTAGGTGATGTTCTAAGCTTGGGCCCTCAAAATGCAGGTTTATTTTTGTTATGATTTGCATAAGGGGTTATATTTAGCCTGGGCAGAATTTAGCTGTAAAAATGAACAAATCACTCAACTCATGACTTTTTCCCACTCTTCAGAATGGCAAACTTTTTGTTCTCATTTTTTGCAGGACAGTAGAACTGAGCTGAACCCTAAACACTCATCCAGTCTAGATCTCTGCCTTCCACTAAGCAATTGAAAACAGACAATTGTTTGTCTCCTTCTTTAAAGTTCCCACAAAGGAAAATTCTTTTTCTCACGTGTTCTAGTGTTGAACATGATTTTTCATTGACAAGTTCTTAAATTTTTCATGAGCTAGTTCCTCAAAATCATTTTCTGATGGTAAATTTACTTGTTTTAATCTTCATGTAGAAGATAATGATTTTAAACTTTAGCTTTTTCATAAACTTAAATATTATTTAATATCTGGTCTTCGGTAGGGTTCTTGATGCTACTCAGCTTACCTGTAACTCAGCCCTTTTCTTAGAGGTTGTTTGTTTCTTAACCTTTTGAAACCTTTGTTGTTCATTGTTAAACATAAAGTCTTTCATTCCTTCCACTCATACTTTCCCTGTCCCTTTCTCCCCCTGTGCCCAGGCATGTCCCCAATTAAGATGTGGTGAGTCTTCTGCATGTCTTCACTAGTCAAGAGGATTTTCTTAAATAACAAGTTTTATTGAGATATAATTCACATAGAATTCACTCATTTAAAATGTACAATTCACTGAGTTTTAGAATATTCACAACCATCACCACAGACAATTATAGAAAATTTTCATCACCTCATATAGAAACCCAAATCCTTTAGCTATCACCCCTCCACCTGCCTCCCTCCACTCTCCCCAACACTAAGCAACCACTATTCTACTTTCTGTCTTTACGGATTTGCCTATTCTGGACATTTCACATACATGGAATCCTGCAATATGCGGTCTTCTATGTCTGGCTTCTTTCACTTTGCATAATGTTTTTAGAGTTTGCTCATGTTGTAGCATGTATCAGTACTTCATTCTTTTTTATGGCCAAATAATATTCCAGTGTATGAATATGTCGCATTTTGTTCAGCCATTTATCGATAGATGGATATTTGGGTTGTTTCCACCTTTGGGCTATTACAAATAATGCTTCTATGAACATTCTTGTACAAGTTTTTGCATAGACACATAGTTTCCATCCTCTTGGGTATATCCCTAGGAGTGGAATTACCGGATCATATGATAACTCTGTTTAATCATTTAAGGAACTGCCAGGCTGTTTTCCAAGGTCTGCCACCAAATGGTGGCTATACCATTTTACATTTTCACCAGCCATGTGTGCAGGCTCTGATTTTTTCACATGCTTGTGAACACTTGTTATCTGTCTTTTTGATTCTAGCCATCCTAATGGGCATGAAGAGAGAGCTTGTGGTTTTGATTTGCATTTCTGTAATTACTAATAATGCCAAACATCTTTTCATGTGCTTTTTCGCCATTTATATGTCTTCCTTGAAATGTCTATTTAGATGACTGGCCTATTTTTCAATTGGGTTATTTGTCCTTTGGTTGAATTCTAAGAGTTCTTTCTATATTCAGGCTATGGGTCTCTTATCAAATGTATGATTTGTAAGTTATTTTCTCCCATTCTGCAGGTTGTTTTTTCACTTTCTTCATAGTGTCCTTTGAAGCACAAAAGCTTTTAATTTTGATGAGGTCTAATTCATTTTTTTCTTTTGTAATATTTTCTATAATACATGTTATAAAAATATTAAGTGTATTTTTGTTTTCCAAGTGTAAAATTATAGAAAATATGTTTTAAAAACTATGTCATCCCATCAAGAACCACAGACTTAGCTAAGTGTCTTCATTCCCATTCCTTTTCTTGAGTGTTTCAATCATTTTGTAGTTTTCTTTCAATTTTTTGCATGCTTCTAACTGGAGAGTTTTGAACTTAACAAGGAATTTAGAATAAAATCCCAAATAATATTAAATAAAAGCTGAGAGGAAATGTTTTGTAGTCCTTGTTGGTATCCTGATCTCCGATAACATATTACATTTTAAAAACAGCCGATACTTGGGAGTCTGAGGCAGGAGAATTGCTTCAACCTGGGAGATGGAGGTTGCAGTGAGCCGAGATCGCGCCACTGCACTCCAGTTTGGGTAACAGTGTGAGACTCCGTCTCAAAAACGAAAAACAAAAAACAAAAAAACAAACAAAAAAAAAACCGCCTAACACGGTCATTTCACAACATTCTGCCTTTCATCCAGATATCACTCTATGTTCTGTTTACATAGAGCAAATCTTTATAGTGGATGGTCACTGTAAATGTGATAATGAAAGGCAATAGCTTTCATGTGGATCATCTTTCTTCCTTGTCCAACAGGTATGGCAGATCCCAGAAAATGGACTCACCCTTTCCCTGACTGAACCTGTGGTGATTTTGGAAGGCCACTCAAAGAGAGTCGGCATCGTGGCTTGGCATCCAACGGCCCGCAATGTGCTTCTTAGTGCAGGTGGGAGCTGAGCTCAGCGGTCCTCCCCTTGTCTTCCACTCTTGTGGCTCTCTGAGTGGGGGGAAGCAAATGTGTTTTGGTTGTGTGCTATATGGTTTTAAAGCAGATTATTAGGAAACCATGGTGAAGAGTATTGGGGTGCACTGCTCCCCCAGCCCACATACATACTTGTGTGTGTGTGCACGTGTGTGTGTTTCAAGGCCATTTCGACAACCTGAGGAAAGCTATGAATTTCCTGCTATAATTTCAGCAGGTTTCATGGTTCCTGCCAGGGCCCTCCATGAACCATAGTTTTGGTTATTTCTGATATGGTAGAAGGTGTACTTTGTTGGGAGCCAGAAGCCCTGTGTTCCCTCTGTGGTGTTGCTGCCAGCTTTGGGAGACCCCTATTAGGCAAATACACTCCTTCCTTTTAAAGAAAACTTTGATTTTCCCCTGCTATACAATTAGTACATGTATACTGTAGAGAACATATATAAACAAAAGGAAAAAAAAATCACTTTTAATCCCACCACTCAGAGAGAAGATCATTATTACTTTTTTGATGTTTCTTTCCGAAAGATATTTCTGTGCACATACATAAATTATTTTACATACAGAGATGGGTTCATACACTTTACACATGGGCTGCTTTCTGCACTTGGTGGTAGGCTGTGACCCTTTTCACGTGCCATTAAGCTCTCTTCCTATTTTTAATGACTTCATACTAATCCATTTTCTGGATATACCTCATTTTACTTGATAAGTCCCCTATTTCTGGACACTGGTGTTGTACAGAAATCTTTTCCTTTATCTAAAATTGGAGATTTCATTTTCTTTTATGAAAGCAATACAGAGAGCATGAGGGAACTTTGTGGGGTGATGGAAATATTCTGTATCTTGATCATAGTAGTGGCTACATGAGTTTATACATTTGTTGAAACTTAGCAAATATATACTTAAAATGGGTGCATTGTATTGTATGTAAGTTATACCTTAATAAAAGTGGTTTATTTAAAAAGTGATACTAATGTTAGAGATAGGATTTTTAAAGGTCTTTCCCCTCACCAGTAAAAAGGAGGAGGGGCAGTTCAGTTTTTAACTGGGAATACACAATGTTTATGACTCATAGTGAGTTAAATAAAAAATTATAATGCCAAGTAACTATTGAAACTAAGGCCCACTTTTCAAAAAAGATGCCATGTTTTTTATAATCACCATCGACTATACTTGGGAATCATTTTTGATGTTCTCTCAGAACCTCAGTCTGATTAAGGAGAGGAAAAAAATTCCAGAGCTGGAATTCCTTCATGGAAAATTCCCTGCTACCTTTCTCATCAAGGCTCAATACAGGGCAGCAGCAACAGACTGGTCTGCATTCTCCCTTTTACATGTGAAGGAGAATGGGTGATTGTCGTGTTCTGCATATTTTTAGGCTATATGATCCAGCTGCCGGGGCTGAAGTTACCTGTTTGCCTATAGGGAAGAAGGCAGAGGAAGGTTCAATTGTCCATCCCAGAGTTTAGCTTCAACTTTTGTTACTGTTGTGTAGTTTTTTTCTCCAGTTTCCTACTTCTTTTTTTTTTTTTTTTTTTTTTGAGATGGAGTTTCGCTCTTGTTGCTCAGGCTGGAGTGCAATGGCATGATCTCAGCTCACCGCAACCTCCGCCTCCTGAGTTCAAGCGATTCTCCTGCCTCAGCCTCCCAAGTAGCTGGGACTACAGGCATGTGCCACCACACCTGGCTAATGTTGTATTTTTAGTAGAGACAGGGTTTCTCCATGTTGGTCAGGCTGGTCTCCAACTCCTGACCTCAGGTGATCTGCCCGCCTCGGCCTCCCAGGGTGCTGGGATTACAGGCGTGAGCCACCGTGCCCGGCCAGTTTCCTACTTCTAACCCTTAGGTAACTTAAGTATCCTGGATGTTAGTGACTATTTTTTCTAAATGATTTCCAAATTGCTTTGTTGGCAAGAATCCACCTCTAGGATGTCCTTCCCGTATTTTGCTTCATCCTTGAACTAACATCCTAGGAGCAACACATGCTGCCTCTTTTTAAAGGGGCCTGGAGGCGTGGGGCAGACCCTTGAAGGAAGGAAGGAGTTGGTGAGCTGAGATGGTGAATGAGTTGACATTGTGGGCTTCTTTCAGAATCCGTTTCTGAATCTATGTAGCTACTTGATTACAGTTTGGGCTTCTCACCATGATCAGAGCAGTCTTGGCCTATTTTTCTCTTCATTTAAAGGTACAGATCTGTTGTGAGCAAACAGGCCTTACTCTTGGCTTTTCCCTTCCACTGTTGTACCATCTTTAATATCCCAAAGCTGTGTCTTAGAGTCTCACTGATTTGAATAACCTGCCACCCAGAGTTTTTGTTGAGTGCCCTAAACAGTCATTTAAACCTTTTACTTTTAGTTTATTTGGCACGTGAAAAGGGTCACAGCCTACCACCAAGTGCAGAAAGCAGCCCATGTGTAAAGTGTATGAACCCATCTCTGTATGTAAAATAATTTATGTATGTGCACAGAAATATCTTTCGGAAAGAAACATCAAAAAAGTAATAATGATCTTCTCTCTGAGTGGTGGGATTAAAAGTGATTTTTTTTCCTTTTGTTTATATATGTTCTCTATAGTATACATGTACTAATTGTATAGCAGGGGAAAATCAAAGTTTTCTTTAAAAGGAAGGAGCGTATTTGCCTAATAGGGGTCTCCCAAAGCTGGCAGCAACACCCTGATGCTTGTTTTACTAGAAAGGGAAACTTGAAGTCACTTGGGTCTACCAGCCCAGTTAACTCTTTAAAGAAAATAGGGTTCTGTTTTGGTGTGGTTCTTTGTTTTTGTTTGGTTGATTGTTTCATATGAACCCAAACTTAACAAGTTGTGTTTTTACTTTAACACTTTTATTTCTTTTATACAAACTTTTTCCTTTGTCACTTCAGTTTTTAACGCTGTTAGTAAGTAGGGCCTCTGGTAGGGCCTCTGACAATCAGCCGCATCTTTTCTCTCTCTCTCTTTCTCTCTCTCTCTCTCTGCATATACATATGTGTATTCTCACTGTATCTGTAGTTTTCTGAGTGTGTTACATAGGTGTTTCTAATCTTCTAATCTCTGATGGTTTTGCCTGTTTTAGGCTGTGATAATGCCATTATCATCTGGAATGTGGGAACAGGGGAAGCCCTTATAAACTTGGACGATATGCATTCAGACATGATTTACAATGTGAGCTGGAACCGGAATGGCAGTCTGATCTGCACAGCTTCCAAAGACAAGAAAGTGAGAGTCATTGATCCCAGGAAACAAGAGATTGTTGCTGTGAGTATTCCTAGGATGAAAACTCAGTAGTTGGAGCACTTGAGTGAGTGTGAGCTTTCTGCTTTTTAAGGCAGGCAGCGGTACTGGTCAGTGGGACCCTGTTGTGTGTAGACACCAACTGTGAATAAGAGAAGGCTTATAAAGGCTTCTGTCTCCCCAGTTGTGCTTCTCTCCAGAGTTGTAAATTTTCCAGCTTTTACTCAAGTCTCTCACTTTGTAGCCTTTTTTCACAAAGAAATAGTTTGTATCAGTTCACTAGAGTCCTTAAGAGTTTATAAGTCTTGATCAATTAAACCAATTGGCTGCATTCCTGATTTTGCAGCTTAGTATTGAATATTGATGAATCAATTCCTCACCCTTTTCCAAACACAGCTGTTAAAGATGCAACAGGTGGCCGGGCATGGTGGCTCACACTTGTAATCCCAGCACTTTGGGAGGCCGAGGTGGGTGGATCATTTGAGGTCAGGAGTTTGAGACCAGCCTGGCCAACATGGTGAAACTCTGTCTCTACTAAAAATACAAAAATAAATAAATAAATAAATAAATAAATGCGCAGGGCGAAAAGCAACAAGTTCTCTCATCAGCTCAGTGTCTTAGTTTCTGCCACCCAAACTGGACCTCAACAAAATCACATACCTTGACAAAAGATGGACATTTGGGTCTTCAGTCGGTGTTGAAACTACACATAGTAAGTCTGAGAAGTCCTCATTTGCCACACTCTGAGGCCCTTCCTGAGATGTGGTTGTTCTTTGGCTGCATCTCTTTTCAAGAGTTGGGCAATGATAGTAGCTGGTGCTTACTGAGCCCTGGGGACTTGCCCAGCCCTGTGTTAAGTGTTTTCTCCACCCGACATCTTCTAAGGGTTGTCCTAGTGCATTCATTAAACTACTGAGGTCAAGGAAAGCGTTAACTAGACAAGGCTTCTTTCTGCCCTATGATATTGGTAGAAATGGTAGGGCATGCCTAATCTCCTTATGTTATTATCCTCTTGAGAAACAAACATTTGTCAGAGTCCTTTCATGTGTTTTATTTTCACAGTGCATAGACTTGGGTTGGCAGCAGGATATGGTGGAGAGAGCGAGTCTTCTGAGTTAAATCCTGGCATTCTTGCAGCCTCACAGAGGGACCTTGACCAGATCACATAGTATCTCTTTGTTTCCTCATCTGGGGAAGGGGGATGGTTAACACTGACCTCCCTCCCACACCCAGGTGAACATGAATGGCAGTTGGTGAGGTTGGATCTGTGCCCGAGTTTCTCCACTCACCTTGTCTTCTTGCAGTTTAATGTGTGGCATGTGCCTTTTTGCTCTCCAGGAGAAGGAGAAAGCACATGAAGGAGCAAGACCCATGAGAGCCATCTTCCTGGCCGATGGCAATGTCTTCACCACTGGGTTCAGCCGCATGAGCGAGCGGCAGCTGGCTCTCTGGAATCCGGTACGCCCTCCCCAGGCTTTCCACTTGCTTTCACTTGAGCTTTCTCTCTGTTCTGAGCAGGTCTTCCAGTGAGTAAGTAGATTATGGGATTCTTAGTGTAGTTTTCTAAACGCCTGATTGTCTTAGATTGGATGTGAAGTTCTTATCCTCGTTGGAGACTTACTGGTAAATGTATTTCAAAGACATACTTTTGATACTCCTGAAGAGGCTGTTGACTATATATTTTTTATTTTTTTAATTTTTTTTAATTTTAATTTTATTGGTCATTTTTGGGTGTTTCTTGCAGAGGGGGATTTGGCAGGGTCATAGGACAATAGTGGAGGGAAGGTCAGCAGTTAAACAAGTGAACAAAGGTCTCTGGTTTTCCTAGGGAGAGGACCCTGCGGCCTTCCGCAGTGTTTGTGTCCCTGGGTACTTGAGATTAGGGAGCGGTGATGACTCTTAACGAGCATGCTGCCTTCAAGCATCTGTTCAACAAAGCACATCTTGCACCGCCCTTAATCCATTTAACCCTGAGTGGACACAGCACATGTTTCAGAGAGCACAGGGTTGGGGGTAAGGTCATAGATCAACAACATCCCAAGGCAGAAGAATTTTTCTTAGTACACAGCAAAATGAAGTCTCCCATGTCTACTTCCTTCTACACAGACACAGCAACAATCTGATTTCTCTATCCTTTCCCCACCTTTTCCCCTTTTCTATTCCACAAAACCGCCATCGTCATCATGGCCCGTTCTCAATGAGCTGTTGGGTACACCTCCCAGACAGGATGGTGGCCGGGCAGAGGGGCTCCTCAATTCCCAGAAGGGGCGGCAGGGCAGAGGCGCCCCCCACCTCCCGGATGGGGTGGTGGCCGGGTGGAGGCTGACCCCCCACCTCCCTCCCGGATGGGGCTGCTGGCCGGGCGGGGGCTGCCCCCCCACCTCCCTCCCGGACGGGGCGGCTGGCCGGGTGGGGGCTGACCCCCCACCTCCCTCCCGGACGGGGCGGCTGGCCGGGCGGGGGCTGAGCCCCCACCTCCCTCCCGGACGGGGTGGCTGCCGGGCAGAGACGCTCCTCACTTCCCAGACGGGGTGGCTGCCGGGCGGAGGGGCTCCTCACTTCTCAGACGGGGCGGCTGCCGGGCGGAGGGGCTCCTCACTTCTCAGACGGGGCGGCTGCCGGGTGGAGGGGCTCCTCACTTCTCAGACGGGGCGGCTGCCGGGCAGAGGGGCTCCTCACTTCTCAGACGGGTCGGCCAGGCAGAGACGCTCCTAACCTCCCAGACGGGGTCCCGGCCGGGCAGAGGCGCTCCTCACATCCCAGACGGGGCGGCGGAGCAGAGGCGCTCCCCACATCTCAGACGATGGGCGGCCGGGCAGAGACGCTCCTCACTTCCTAGACGGGATGGCGGCCGGGAAGAGGCGCTCCTCACTTCCCAGACTGGGCAGCCGGGCAGAGGGGCTCCTCACATCCCAGACGATGGGCGGCCAGGCAGAGATGCCCCTCACCTCCCAGACAGGGTGGTGGCCGGGCAGAGGCTGCAATCTGGGCACTTTGGGAGGCCAAGGCAGGCGGCTGGGAGGTGGAGGTTGTAGCTAGCCGAGATCACACCACTGCACTCCAGCCCGGGCAACATTGAGCACTGAGTGAACGAGACTCCGTTTGCAATCCCGGCACCTCGGGAGGCCGAGGCTGGCGGATTACTCGTGGTCAGGAGCTGGAGACCAGCCCCGCCAACACAGCGAAACCCCGTCTCCACCAAAAAAATACGAAAACCAGTCAGGCGTGGCGGTGCGCGCTTGCAATCGCAGGCACTCAGCAGGCTGAGGCAGGAGAATCAGGCAGGGAGGTTGCAGTGAGTCGAGATGGCAGCGTCCAGCTTCGGCTCGGCATCAGAGGGAGAGCGTGGAAAGAGAGGGAGAGGGAGACCGTGGGGAGAGGGAGAGGGGGAGGGGGAGGGGGAAGGGGAGAGGGAGGGGACTATATTTTTTAAAAAGAATGAAGAATCTAGTGTTTTGGATTTGGAAAATAAGTTCATATTTCATAAATAATATGATCAGTTGTCTAAATCAAAATAGTCATGCTTGGGAAAATGTTCATAATTAGCTTAAGTGGGGAAAAATACAACATACATTCTATCATCTCAATCTCTGTGTACATGTGTCGGAAGGAAATAGATCAAAATGATAATAGCTTCTGTCACCCACTGGGCTGTAGGATTTTGATGGAATGATTTTTATGTTCTTTTTTATATCTTTCAACTTTTTAAAAGCACACATATTTTATAATTAAAGAAGTACTTTAAAAAAATAAAATAGGGTAGGCGCAGTGGCCATTCCTGTAATCCCAGCACTTTGGGAGGCTGAGGTGGCTGGATCACTTGAGGCTGGGAGTTGGAGACCAGCCTGGCCAACATGGTGAAACTCTGTGTCTACTAAAAATACAAAAATTAGCCACGGGTGGTGGCATGTGCCTATCTATAATCCCAGCTCTTGCCAGGCTGAGGCAGGAAAATCGCTTGAACTTGGGAGGCGGAGATTGCAGTGAGCCGAGATAGCACTACTGCACTCCAGCCTGGGCGACAGAGGGAGACTCAGTCTTTAAAAAAAAAAAAAAGAAAAAGAAAACAGTAACAAAGGAGAAGGGCTTTCTCATCATTGTCATGAAATCACGCTGATGTATGCGCGCATTATGTTGTCAAATCAGTGAAATTTTGTGAGTTGGATCTCATTTAGCATCCCTGTTGCTGTTTCCATGTATGAGTATTGTATGTGCATAGTTCAAACTTCTGTTATTCTAGGAAAATGGCTCGCTTAATTGGGATAGAAGAATATATAATAAGGTTATAAAAATTTATTTTTAAAAAAATGTATACATACACATATATGTATTATTATTATCTTCCCCCCAGAAAAATATGCAGGAACCAATTGCTCTTCATGAGATGGACACTAGCAATGGGGTGTTGCTGCCTTTCTATGACCCTGACACCAGCATCATTTACTTATGTGGAAAGGTAAACAGTAATTTTGATGTTTGGTGTTAAATCCTGTAAGTGGAAACATTTATCCTTCAGAGATTTAGAGGACGGGCAATGTGTTGTATCTGTTTAATTTTTCTAATTTGTGTGTGTATGTTATAAGCCAAGGACAGATAATTTGGTATTTTTAGGTCTTGAGACTGGACTGTGTGCAGCTTGCCAGTTGTGCAGTGATAACACGCCATGTTGCATACTTTTGACTGAAGCAGAGGTTGGGCTGGGGTATTGGGGAAAATGCTCCAATCAGGGCGCTCTTGTGAAAAAAAGAAGATACACTGGTGTTTCATCTTCACCTAGCAGTGCTACCTGATTGGTGATTTTAGATTTATCTGTACTTATGTCAGGGATGGGCAACCAGTTGGCCACATCTAATGCTGAAATTTGTTGGATAACCCTAGATGAGCATGTGTATACTTAGTACCACACACCATGGACTTGGAAGGAGAATGGTGCTTTGTGGATGCAAACTTTTGAGGGCCTCAGAGACTCTCCAGAGGGTTCTTGTTCCTGGGGTTCAGTGCTAGGGCTCTGGGCTTGAAGATATGAGGCCTGACTAAAGCTCAGGGGTGATAACAGTTATAGGGAGACTCCACACTGAACTCCAAAAACCTTCCTCCTGCCTTATGAGCTCAGCATACCTAGACTGTGGGTAGCTTTATTATTTCATTTTTGTAAGTGGGAACCTTATAGTTCCCTTTTTTTTCTTGTAGGCTCAATTTCCCTTAGAACTTTTTGTAGTTGAAATAAATGAATTAATAACAGTGGAGCTGTTGAGGTAGTCCCTAGACCTGTTAGATAGCCCTTCACTGGGTGGTAAAGCTGGTGTTTGCTTTTCATAGCTGATTGAGCATGCTGCAGACCTGCTTTACATTTTTATAGGTCATTGTTTTAGAAATGGAGATCTTGTCTGTTTCCTTGAAAGCCATTTTACTGCAGATGTTAACAGGTGTTAAGTGCATTTACCTTGCTGTTGTTGCCCTTGACTGAATTAAAACAAACAAAATGAGCAGTTACTCAGATATTAGTAACATGAGATGGAAAATTCTTTTGGGCATGCAGAAATGACTAGTAAGGGTTTAGCTTCTTTTCCATTGCTTTAGATATCTCAGTCATTGAGACAAATGGAAATCATGAGAACTGGGAGCACTGTTGAGGCATGATACCACCTAGCTATTTTTGCCTTCTTCTTTCTTACATATATGTATATCTCCTCTCTGCCAGACAAGATTGCCGTCATTGTTCAGGTTGGTGTAACTGTGTGACAATTATTTGTACTTAGACTAACATATGCTTCAGTACTCAAAGATATCTGACTATTCTAAGCAAGAAAGTAGTAGAATTGTACACATTGCCATGAGATGGCACTTTCTGAGGATACTCACTAAAACTGAGTTTCTTCATTAGAAAAATCTCACTTTTTATCATCATACTGGCATAACAGCATTGCGTTATGCCAGTAAATGAATACTTAAATCAATAATTGCATTCTCAGCAGTCCTCTTAGTCTTTGTTTGTTTGTTTGTTTTTCACAGTTGAATTGCAATGTAGCTGTTTGGCAGAGGCATTAACATTTTTGCCCTAACCCTGGCCTGGTGCCTAGGCTCAGGGGAGTAAAATTAGAGCCAGGAGCCAGGAGGCTGAGGAGACCACTTAAAAGGCATGCTAGCATTTGATAAGTAAGGGGTTACTTTGTGAGGAAAAGAAACTTTTATATGCTTTAGGCAAGCCTCTTTATGAGGAAGAAAAGGTCAGCTACTGAAGCGGGGTCCCAACTACTGCTGGGTTTGTAGAGGAGAGAGACACCCCCATAATCCAGATGTTTCAGTTAACAATCAGACACAGACTTGTCTCTGGTTTCTTACAGGGTGACAGCAGTATTCGCTATTTTGAGATCACGGATGAATCCCCGTACGTCCACTACCTCAACACATTCAGCAGCAAGGAGCCTCAGAGAGGGATGGGTTACATGCCCAAGAGGGGACTTGATGTTAACAAATGTGAGATTGCCAGGTAAAGAATCGAGATTGTCAAGTATTCTAGGTTGGTGTAACTGTGTGACAATTATTTGTACTTGGACTAGCATATACTTCAGATCTCAAAAATATCTGACCATTCTGAGCAAGAAAGTAGTAGAATTGTACACATTGCCATGAGATGGCACTTTCTAAGGATATCACTAAAACTGAGTTTCTTCATTAGAAAAAAATCTCAAAAAAAAAAAAAAAAGAAAAGAAAAAAATCTCACTTTTTTTTTTTTGAGACGGAGTCTGGCTCTGTTGCCCAGGCAGGAGTGCAGTGGTGTGATCTCAGCTCACTGCAACCTCCGCCTCCCTGGTTCAAGCAATTCTCCTGCCTTAGCCTTCCAAGTAGCTGGGATTACAGGCGCCCACCACCACACCCGGCACATCTCACTTTTTATCATCACCTGAATGCCTGGTGATACCAGAGCAATACAGCTACAAGAAATTCTATGAAGCCCAAGTCTTTCTATCCTTGTGTGTACTGTGGAATTAATACCTCATTTCCTGCCCATATAACTGAAGTGCAACAATGAAGCAGCATAGCTGGGGTGTATTGCACACCTACTGAAATAGTGAAACATGCATCTTTAATCTTCAAGCTGAGGCCATGGTCAGCGTTCCCTGGTGGGCAAGTAGGGAGAGCCTGGCTCGGGGATGGAAAAGTGGGTGGTTTTCCTACCCTATGAGTGGAAGAACCAGAGTCAAAACTGTATTTGGGGCCCCACTGGTCCTAAAATAGAGAAACCAAAGGTCCTATAATGGGGCGGTAGGTTAGCTTGATTTAGGAAGTTCAGCTATGATATAATTTCTACCTCTCTGTACTACTTCTGATTTTTAGAAAATTCATATTCTAAATGCTAGCAGGCTTCCTAAGGGACAGGCTTTTTTCTCATGCTAGTCAACAAATATATCCTCTGAGACTCAGTGACCACTGGCCATTTCAAACAACAGAATAATTAGCACTACATCATCACATATAAGGTCGTACCAAACATTTGTGTAACACTGTGTTTATGTGGACTTTTAAAACGCTTGCTGTTCTGGTCTCACAATTAAAGAATTGATACTTACGTCTTCCAAATAAAAGGAAGAGAATTTTTATAAGCCCCTTTTTTATATTAATCTCTACTAAAAATAAAAAATTTGCTATGTGTGGTCGTGGGTGCCTGTAATCCCAGCTAATTGGGAGGCAGAGTCAGGAGAATCACTTGAACCCAGGAGGCGGAGTGAGCCGAGATGGTGCCACTGCACTCCAGCCTGGGCAACACAGCGAGACTCCGTCTCAAACAAACAAAAACAAACAAACCAAAACTCTCTATGTGATTTTTTTTTTTTAGTTGGAATAATGAAGGAAAGCTGTTAAAGATAATTGAAAATTGTGGTTTAAACCAAACTAATCAAAATATGGTTCAAAATAGACTGAATTCAAATTTATGATTACATCCAATATTTTGAAACACATTTGTTGTCATCTAAAAGTTCGACAGACTATAAACACAGTTGTTCAGAATGTCTCCGATTTATGAAGTGTTTCTTGAGCATTTATTGTATGCCAGGACTGTGCTAAATATGCTACTTGCTACCTCTTTCTTTTCATAACAATCATATGTGGTAGGTGTAACTTTTATCCCCATTTTATGGATGAAGAACTTAAGGCTTGGTGAGGTTGTCACACTCTCGTGGGTTTTGGTAGTAGAGCTGGAAGTCAAAGCCAAGTCAGTCTTTTTATTGGCTATACTAACCACAGAATTTTCATTAAATCAGTCTTTAAAAATGTTTTTGGGCCAGGAGTGGTGGTTCACCCTGTAATCCCAACACTTTGGGAGGCCAAGGTGGGAGGATCACTTGAGCCTGGGAGTTCAAGAGCAGTATGGACAATCTAGTGAGACCCTGTCTCTACAAAACATTAAAAAAATTAGCCAGGTGTGGTAGTACGTACCTGTGGTCCCAGTTATTCCAGAGGCTGAGGATTTGGCTTGAGCCCAGGAGGTCAAGACCTCAATGAGCTTGTGCCACTGCACTCCAGCCTGGGCGATGGAGCAAGACCCAGTCCCAAAAAAAAAAAAAAAAAAAAAAAAAAGGTTTTTGGTTTATCTGGGACTCTTTTAGTTTTTGGTTGAAATAGTAAAGAGGCACATTTGACACAACCTTCCTTTTAAAGAGGATGATGATTTTATAAACCTTTACCACCCTGAGCTCTACTCAGCTTTTGTTCCCCTGATGCGTTAGAGCAGTGTATCTGCCAGGTTGTCTTCAATGGACTCCTGCCCAGTTTCAGATGCCAAAGGCTGCAGGTTTCCAGGAGAAATGGTTTTGCATATTTGATGTGGCTGTGTCTTCTCTGACTTAAACTCTTGGAATTCAGAAAACATTTCCCCAGCAGCATTGACGCCCACATTCAACTCCCCCCTTGCACACCAGCCGTTTGATCTGGTGATCTGGCCAGGATGCTCACTAAGGCTACCTCTCTTGCCAGGAGCTTTAGAGACTTTTTTTGTTGTTTCCCGTCTTGACTGAAAAAGAAAATTGGCTTGACCTTATCAGGGTCATCATAAGAGAAGTCATTTCTGGTCTGTTTAGTTCTCTTGTAGGATACAAATAAAAATGTTATACCTTTCTTCCCCATTACAGAGCTCTTTGCTCCCTTCTTCCAGTATTACAGTGCAAGTGGCTTTACATTCTCTTTCCACATTTTGGATAGTTTCACATTTTTCTTGAGTGTCATGTACGATGTGGTTTGCTAGGATGAGAAAATCATAATCCTAGGATTGTTTTCTTTTGCTTTCTAAAAGTCATATTTATACTTATATGTTCAACCACCTCAAGCTGGCAGAAGACCTTGTACCCGCGTTGTAGATACAATCTAACAGATGTGTGTTCTCTCCTGTAGGTTGACATGGTAATTTTTTCATAAGTGAGTCAGTTTCAGTGTTGCTATTATTTCCACCACAGTTGGTCTGTCCCCCAGATAATTGGCATTTGTCATCATCATACGTAGACCTCTACTCATGGTTCTTGTCTCCAGTCTGCCAGTTCCTAGCATAGTGACTCTCAGCTTCCGTTCTCTCATCTGTCAACCGGGAACACTAAATTCTGCCTATTCCCGGGGTGGATCAGATGTGGGGATGGGTAAAGAAGCACTTGACATTTCAGACAGCATTGTAGAAAACTAATTATTCATCCTGTTAGTCAGCCTCATATTTCACTTAATGCAACTTTGCCTTTATTTCCCCTCTGAAGATTCTTCAAACTTCATGAGAGAAAGTGTGAACCTATTATTATGACTGTTCCCAGGAAGGTGAGTGCTGAGTTTTCTAGACAATCCATATTTTAAACAAATGTAAAAATAAAATTCAAAAATCCCAGGCCTTTCTTCTTCCTTACCCACGGGTGCCAAATGTCTCTTGTAGTCTGACCTTTTCCAAGATGACCTGTATCCTGACACAGCGGGGCCAGAGGCCGCGCTGGAGGCAGAAGAGTGGTTCGAAGGCAAGAATGCAGACCCAATCCTCATCTCCTTGAAGCACGGGTACATTCCAGGCAAAAACAGGGATCTCAAGGTGGTCAAGAAGAACATTCTGGATAGCAAGCCCACTGCAAACAAGAAGTGCGACCTGATCAGCATCCCCAAGAAAACCACAGACACGGCCAGTGTGGTGAGGACCAGTGGAGTGCAGGGGTGCTTGGCTGGTTCAGGCTTTATCCTCTAGAAAGCCCTTGTGGTCCAGGGCGTCGGCGAGTACTGTCCCAGCTGGGTGCTCAGGGGTTTTCAGTAAATGAAAAAGTGGGAGAAGGTCCTCGGTCACGTGATGGTGGTGGTTTGTGGCAACACTTGCCTCCTTTAACGGAGTTAAAGCTCCTTTAGCCCCATTAAAGGAGCCAAGTGTGGCCACAGACCACCATGATTGGGATAGGTATCAGTTTCCTCCTATCTCTCAGTGTGAACAGGAGCCTCTTGGGTTTTTCCTGTCTTTTGCCAAACTAGTTAAACCCTTCTCTGATTTGGGTAGAAATAAAATATCATGGGAGTGTGGGGTCATAGGCACCAGGGAGAGGAGGTCCCTGGAAGGAGGGAGTGGCACGTGTTCAGATGTAGCTGAGTGGCTACGACAGAAGGATCTGGCGGTGTGGGGCTGGCAACAAGGGGGATTTAGGCAAGAGCCCTTTGGGTGGGGAATTGGGAATCAAGCCTGCCTTTGACTCGCTGCGGCCACTGGAGAGTGCTGCTGTTGCCGGGAGAGCAGGTCCTGGGTAAGAGAGAAGGAGTGGACACACAGGGCAAGGGTTTCCCTCCCAAGAAGGAGCCTCACAGATGGCAGGAGCTCTGTAGCCTCTGGGAGAGTCACCCCTCTCTCTGGTCAGATAGAAGTTACTCTTGATGGAATGATTGGGGTGGTTAGGACGTAGGACACTGTTGAAGGAGCCTGTTTTGTCCTATAGTCTAACTGTGACCCAGGAGACCCTTTGTTTGAGTAAATGCACAGGCTTCGGGATCAGAAGTGGCACTGTGACACTGTGACACACTGTTGTTTTGCCACGGGATCTCAGATAGATCGGCCAGTGCTCATTGCATTCAAAGCCCCAGACATAGTAGGGCTTTGACTTCTCTTTTCAACTTGGTGACTATGGCTTGCCGTTTGCAAAATAGAAAACTACATTTTATATCTTACAAGTTTTGAACAGTGTTGAACTTTGTTTACTGCATTTTAATCACTGCCTCCTTTTTTTGTTTTCTTAGCAAAATGAAGCCAAGTTGGATGAGATTTTAAAAGAGATCAAATCTATAAAAGACACAATCTGCAATCAAGATGAGCGTATTTCCAAGTTAGAACAGCAGATGGCAAAGATAGCAGCCTGAAGGTCCCACCCCCACCCCTACAGAAAAAATGGGAGCAAGAACTTGTGCTTGGGAGCTGGTTATTGGTGTGGTCCTAGGGAGGGCGGAAAGGGAGGCACTGCCATTTGGAGACATTCCATTTCAGATTTGTCAACCAGCGATAGGCCACATTCCAGTAAGAACTCAATTTGTCTCCCAAATTTGCAGAAACAAAACGTGATTTAAAAGCTGAGCTTTTTATCAGAAAGCTTTTTTGATGTTTTAAGTGTTATGTGACTTGTTGAACTTTTTAAAAAGTGCTACTTTTAAAATCCCAGATACTCTGAATTTTAGAAAACAAACTAATTCTGATTGTGTCGTGCCCAAGTACCCTTTTTTTTTTAATGAATAGGGACCAATGCCACATTGCTTTTTATATTTCTTTCTTTTTTAATGTTGCCAAAACCAAAAGTAGCTTTGTTTTCCTTTGTATTTTGCTACTTTGCAGTATTTGTGTGTGTGGTTTTTTTTCCTTAATTTGAAAGGGACAGCACTGTGTATGTTTATAAACTAAATGAAGATAAGATATTATTTTGTATAAACATTCATCTGAGAACAATCAAAGCAGTAGCCACATGGTGCTGGCTCCTTTGCAGCACAAACCTGGTCATTTTGATGACTGTACAACAGGAAGACTTGAAAAATCACGTGGATTCATATTACCACCGCTCTCATTTCATGGAGTCTTCTGATCAAAAAAGCTCACGTCGTATTTCTTCTTTTCCTTTCTCTTTTCTAGAAATTGGGTGTTTGTACCAGAATGGAATTTTGCTTCTCGGTTATCCTGTGCTTCAGATGATTATAATCTAACCCAAACTAGCATGTGTTTCTGCAGTTTGTTACACACCTAGGATCATATTGCATTCATCACTTTAAACATCATGTTTCAGGTTTTGGTCAATACTTGACAAGGGTGCCCAGGACAGGAAGACGTGTACTGCTGAGTGTTCCTTCTTGCCCTTTTCAGCAGCTTGCCCAGCTCTTGAGTACAGTGGTGGGGACTAAAAATGTGGGCATGTGGAGAGGGGTATTTGCCCTGGGTGATCCTGTTTCCCTGTGCTGTCCCCATGCTGTGTTGGAGGAGGAAGTGGCTCTCCTTCCACCAACAAAGCTCCTGCTCTACCCTCTTCCTCACATGTGCTGCGACCTCTCTCAGGGCTCCCCCAGCCATTCCTTCTTTCCTTCCTGCCTTTTAGCTCTAACCACATTAAGCTAAGACAAGGCCAGAGGGTGCGATTGAATGAGTATTGAGACTGAGGAGAATGATAGAGAGTGAAGCAGAAACAGGAGCACAGACCTCTGCTGTAGCTTTAATGCATACAAACATGTCCCTCCGCACAACTAACCTGCCCTGCCTCTCCATCTCTCACCAAGGCTGCGTCAAAGCACAGAGGCTCCCCGGACTCGGAGGGGGCCAGAGACTGAGCTCTGGTCACCTGTTCATTCCTCGGTTAGCTGGAACTTTGCCCCGTTTCCAGTTTCTTATAGTGCATGCTTGGGAAACAAGATTTAAGGAGCCTCTGTTTTGGAAGGGCTGTCTGTGATTGAACGTGAAATGTGTAGTGCCATTGGGACCACGAAGGGAATTCTTGCACATGCTCGTGCTGGTGTGGGCATGGGACTGGCTGGAAACGTCTGTATGCAGGGAGCCAGGGTGAGGGCAGAGTGTGGTGACAGCCGAACTTGGAGTAATGTCCGTGTAGAAAAAGGACCATGTTCTTATCCAGCCAATACTGGGAGTGCTGTCTCCACAATTTCAGGGCATCTGAATGTTTGATGTGGTTTTGTGTGTGTGTATGTATGTGTTTAATATTGAAGTGGATCATGAGATGTAAAGAAAACAATAATGGCAATGACTTATATTCAAATCTGTATTTGTTTCTTTATCAATGTAATCTGCTGAGGACCTTTTGTCTAAGATTCAGTAGTGTTTTAAGGTTCTGATATCGAATTAATGAAGTAAAGTTGTTGATGGTGGTGAAACACCGTAGGGCATGTGGTTCAAAGAGAAGCAGGAGGGCAAGGGAAAGTTACCCTGATCTTAGTTTGTAGCTTATGACTTATTTAATGAATGGATGCCCAGCCAAGCTCAGAGTAGGCGCCCAAAGCATTGTGGATTATTTTCCTGTTTTGTCTTTTTTTTTTTTTTTTTTTAAGCCATGACATCCCAGAAGAGGACAGTGAATTACTCCTAGGTCGGCTCTTATAGAGTGGCCATAGTGTTCTGTCAAAACACTTGCTTCCATTTTCAGAGATAAAAATCATTGATTACAAAATGGTGTTTGTGTTTATTTCACGCCTTGGCTGTCTGTGAGGCAGCCCCCACCTCTCTGCCTGACATAGCTTCTCTGACTTTGGTGGACGAGCACGGTGCCATACTCCTCTCCGGGGGTAAGTACAGGGGAAGCGCGTGTGGGTGGCTCAGTTCAAGTACAAGTGAGGTCTCCAAGCCAGTCAAGCACTGTGTTTTGGCTTCCAGCAGACCTGAGCCTTTGGATCCTGCCTCAGACCTTTGCCAGCGGTGTGTCCTGGGATGGGGTTCCTAATCCTTCTGAGTCCCTTTTCTTGAAAGGAGGATGATAATTCCATGTAGTTCAGATGAGAGGAATACCTGTGTGGCCACACAAACAACCCTCGCTGCATGGCCGCTACTGTTACTATTATGAGTTGATTTTCTGACAGAGTCTTTGAAAGCACTTTTTCTTCAATAGAAGCAAAATTCTCTTGGCTCAGCTGTGACTTTTATTCCAGCAGGCTTCCAGGGTCAGTTGAATTGCAGGGCTTCCCTTTCGCACTATGACATTGTCTCGTGACATTTCAGTGATTGTAGCAAAGAATTTCCCACTGTTTGCTTTTTCTGAATATGATGAATGGTCAGCATAAAGCTCCCCTTCCTCAAATGCCTTATCTTAAAGTTGCTTTAGTCTATGAGAAGAATGGCTGCCATGTTCTTGGTCCACTCGTGGCTGCAGGAAGTAGAAGTTGGCAGGGCTCTCTGTAGACCCGAGGTGCCCGCAGTCAGCCAGGAGACGCGTGGTGGTCTGTTTATGACTAACTTGTTTTCTCACTCGGGCCACCTTGATTCTTTGCCAGAAGACCTGAAGGTCAGCATGCTGGCCCCAGACAGCCAGCCAGACCTCGTCTGGGGGGAACTTCCATTTTTTTTTTCAAGGTCACTTCCCTTGCTGTACTTGGTATTCTACACCCAGAAAAACTCTTTGTTGGCTCTTAAGAATCTGTTAACTCTAAGTGGGCCCTTCTCTTTCTGCGGGCACATTAAGTATCCCAGTGCTGGCAGTGGGTCACGGACATGAGTCACCGTCAAGGGCACGCCTTTCCTGCTTCAGACGGGCAACCCTTGATGTCCAGGCCGGACAGTGCCCTTTGTGCTCTTTTATTCGTTAAAAAGAAGTCCCTTGCCAAAGAATGTAGGGGTGGCAGTCCTCTCCTGCGAAAAGCGGGTATGTGCGGGGTGGACAGCCTTTCCAGAGGGCAGTCTGGCAAGTGGATCAAAAGCCTTAAAGGTTTTCTTAAGACCCAAGATTCTCACCTTTGGAAATTTTGTCCCAGGGAACTAGTGGGAGGTATATTCAGGAATTAGAAGAGTAAAATCAACTCTGCAGAAGGGGGTCAGTAAGTTACTTGTCATATCCATATGTTATAATTCTGTTCCATTATTTAAAGTCATTTAAAAAGAGTATTGAATAGGAAACATTAAAAAAATAGTAAAATAAAGTCAATTCCAACTTGGGTTTAAAATATATACCTACCTAGGTTGAAACATGAAAGTATATTATTTCTGGGTGCTGGATGTCACTACCAACTTTTTTCTGTGTATGCCAAGAGCCCTACAGTGAACTGTGTTGCTGATGTCAGCATAAAAAGTGTGTTTACAAAGTAATTCTCATCAGCTCTCTACCCCATGGAGTCACTCTGCAGTAAATGATGTTAGTTGGCTAATCCATTCAGAAGTAAAATGGGGAAGAAAGTGAAGTCCATTGGACCTCATAAGAACATTCAGGACCAGAACTTCTAGTGAGAGGTGTAGGTTTCCTAATACAGATATGTAAAACCAACCCCGAACAGATGGCTTGTGACAAACTTTTTAAAGGATATATGCATATACAATGTATACTTATGTGTAGAATAAATACCAGAAATGTTGTTATTGCTATAGGGAGGTAAAGTTGTGTGTAATTTCTATTTAATCCTATTTTTCTGAATTTAGAAATTTCCTATAAATGTATTTATTCCCAGAAAGGCATTATTAAAATTAATGTATTAGTGATAAGTTAATAATTATTAAGATAAGCATAAATCAGTGGAGATGTTTGAAATGGTGCAGCAACATTTGGTTAGCTGTGGGGGCAGCAGGGACACCAATATACATTCTTAATGGAGTCCACAGTTAAAATAAAACCTTTTCTTTTTCTATTTAGAAGAAAGTAAGTCCCTTTTAATCTACACTTCAGACTAGAAAAAATGTAAGCCCTAAAGCAATGGAATACATCACAAAGGAAAAGACAGATTGGCTATATAAAAATTAAATTACGTAAGACTTTAATATGGCAGAAAACAAAGGTCATCGGAACTGGGAAATACGTTTTCTTCCAATATAGTAAGGGCTAAGTATACTTTGATATGCTTCATCTCAGCTGCAGCTGCTGCCTCTATTTGAAACGTGACGTGTGAAATGTTAAGTCCTAGGCAGCTGATGTGCAGATGGCAGCTGTCCTCATCCCTCCTGTGGGAACCGAGTCCACCAGCAAATGGCTTATTCTCAACTTCGAACTTTGGGGTGTGGGGTGGGGGGGGGTGTGTTCGCTAGGCGACACTGGCCGTGGTGTGCCGGCTGAAAGTTCCCCTGTGGCGAGTGTCAGGAGGGCTGGGTGGGAGATGGGAATTACTGCGCATCCCAAGATCCTTGAGGATAAGGTGACTGCTGAGTTGGTTGGATTGGCTGAAATGTGGAGGGGGGTGAGTTTAGAGAGGCAGATGGGATCCTTCAAATTCATTGTAGTTGGAGTTTAATTCATGTGAACGAAAATGGGTAAGAGGGCAGATTTTAGGATCCTGAGTTTAGTGAGGGGCAGATAGAGGGTGAGGCACGCGGCTCCCTGACAGGCTTCATGGTGAGGGGCTAGAAAGCAACGTCAGGGCCGTTGCCCAGGGAGCCTGAGGGCAGAAGTCAGAGGAGGAAGTTACCCACTTCAGGACTCAACTTGGAAGGCAAGTAGACAGGTCTATTCTGCTGTCAGAAAAAATCTGCACACTTGAGCTTGGGCACTCACCACCGGGTGCTTAGTTTTGTTCTTAGAGTAGCTTCCTCACACTGATCTCAAAGAGTAAGTGGACTTTTGGGGAAGGACTTCCTGGTGGGTTTGGAACAGAACTGGGGAGAAGTGGCTCAAAGGCCCCCAGGCAGTTGTGGGGGCAGAGAAAGCTTTGGGCTGCCAGAGAGGAGCAGTCATCTGTGTCTCCGAGGGGAAGAGCAGGGAGCAGGCCTGGTTACAGTGGAAAGGGATCACACACAGGGTGCCTGGCCCCCAAAATGCTGCGGAACGTGGTTGGGGCTGGTTGCCAAGTTTGTCCAGGCTCCTCTCCACTGGGTGTCTCTCAGGCCCCCAGCAGCAGGGCTCCCTTCCCAAGAGCCCTGTGCCTCTCATCGCCCATTTCCTAATCTCTACCCCACTAGGTAGGGTTGCATTCGTCTTGGCATTCACTGAGTGAGAACTTGCATTTACAGTGAGAGTGTCACCGAGCTGGAGAGAACTGTAATGGAGCAAGTGACCCCTGGTCCAGCCAGGAGAGGTGCTCAGGCTAACACTTAGTGCCTTGAGGGAGTTCAGCAACAACATCCAAGCTTGGGGGCTCTAGTGATGAAGTCTGAGAACTGGGAAGTGCCCCATCCATGACAGGGAGCTGTTGCAGCTTCATTTCCGTGCAGAGATGCTATTTGGGTTGTGGAAGTTGGAATAATACCTCTTGGCGAACAAAATCCTGGGCTGCTTATCACCATCCCCACCTACAGCTCCCCAAATGCAAAATGAGTTCTTACCACCCTGAGCAGTGTCTTCAGGAGGCAGTGGCCTAGAATGCCTCATAAACCACAAGGTGGAGATTCCATCTGGGGATCTGGCCACCTGCCAGGTGCCTCCCCATGTAGATAACAGTCTAGTGTCCGAACAGCCTTGTAGCTGGTTTCTCTGCCTCCAACCGCCTGTTCCCTGTTTTGCTTCTAGAGTGATGTTTTCTGTCAAGGTCTCTGAAGGAGACACAAGTGATTATCCCTTTTGTCTACAGGAGGAAGTTCATGCTCTTCCACCTCTGAGCCTCCTTGACTCCCATCTCTTCTTGCGTATCCCACACCCAGGCTCTGGTTTCACAGTGCATCCATATCCCAGCTACTTCTCACACCTGCCCGGTGACTCCCCCAGCCTGTGCTCCCATCATTTCTGCGTGGACAGAGCCTCTCTATTAGCGTTCTCCAGAAGAAGAGAACCAATAGGGTCTGCGTGGGGGAAGAGAGAGAGAGATCGGGATGTATTTAAGGAATTGACTCATGATTATGGAGGCTGCTAAGCTCCAAGATCTGCAGTCAACAAACCAGAGAGACCCAGGAGAGCTGAGTTTTTCAGTTCAGATTGGAAAGCAGCTAAAAACTGATGTCCCAGCTTGAAGGCAGGCAGGAGTAATTCCTTTTTTTTTTTTTTTTTTTTTTTGAGATGGAGTCTCTCACTCTGTCGCCCAGGCTGGAATGCAGTGGCACGATCTTGGCTAACTGCAGCCTCCACCCCCTGGGTTCAAGCAGTTCTCCTGCCTCAGCCTCCCAAGTAGCTGGGACTACAGGCATGCGCCACCACGCCTGGCTAATTTTTGTATTTTTAGTAGAGATGGGGTTTCCCCATGTTGGCCAGGCTGGTCTTAAACTCCTGACCTCAGGTGATCCTCCCACCTCGGCCTCCCAAAGTGCTAGAATTACAGGCATGAGCCACACGCCTGCAAGGAATTCCTTATTACTCAGCCTTTTTGTTCTATTCAGGCCCTCAACTGAATGGATCCACCCACCCACACCAGAGAGAGCAACCTGCTTTACTCAACCCACAGATTCAAATGTTCATTTCATCCAGAAAACCCTCACAGACACACCCAGGGTAACGCGTGACCAGATATTTGGGCACGCCATTGCCCAGTCAAGTTGACAAGGTTAACAGTCACAGCTTCCTAACCCAGCTTCCCCCACCCACTTGAATCTGTTCTCAGAGCTGCAGCCATAGTCACCTTTTCAGGTATCAAGGTGGGGGAAGACATGCTAAGGCCCATGGGCTAACTCCAACCTGCCGGAAGCTTCTGTGTAGCCCACAAGCTAAGAAGGCTTTTTACATTTTTAAATGGTTGGGGGAAAAAACAATATTTAGTGACAAGTAAAAATGATATGAAATTCAAATTTCAGTGTCCATCAGTAAAGCTTATTGGAACACACTGTGCCTTGTCTGTGGCTGCTTTTGCTCTATACTTGAAGAGTTGAGTAGCTGCAACAGAGATCGTATGGCCACAAAGCCTAAAATATTTACTGTGTAGCCCTTTAAGAAAAAGCTCATTGACCCCTGTGTCTAAGGCTTCAAACCCTCCATGGTTTCCCATCCCACTCAGAATAAAAACTAAATCCTCACCACTGGCTTAGGAGGCCCCGTGTTGCCTGCCCTGCCGCCCCTCATCCTCTCCTGATGTTCTCTTGTGTTCAGGAGGCCTTCTACCCCTGAGCTTCGCAGGTGCTGTTCTCTCGGGAGTGCCCATCCTTTCCCCACCTCCAGTGTCTGCCCTTCCCAGCACTTCACCTGACCCCCATATGTAAATAGTGCCCGTAGCACCTTAGTAGCACTGATAGCTGATCTATCATCTCATTGGAGTTTTGAGTGTCTTCCCTGAATTGAATATAAGCCGCATGAGGACAGGCACTGGTTTCCTTCACCAGGATCCCCAGAATCTGGCATGATGTGCCAATCAGTACTTACTGAAAGACTGAATAGTTGAAAATGTAGACATTATCTGGGATGGGAGCACATATTGCATTATCCGCCCAGCGGTACTTTGCTCACAGAATAAGACTGTCCCGGAGCACAGTCAACTCCAGGTGACCTATGAGCCCCTTGGAGCCACCATCAGTGGCATCAGATCTGGGTTTTCCTTTATGGGGGCCTGGGAGTTGGGGAAGCCAGGGACCACGCAGGCAGAGCAGATACACAGTGATGAAGAAAGGGCTTCTGGGTCCCTGTAGCTCCCCGAGTCCATGCCTAAGGTCCAGCTTTATTTCTGATCTTAAATTCCACAAAATATCCCAGGACTCCTATTGCCAGGCCCCTGGCCTCCTCAAACAACACCAAGGTCTCTCCCCTAAAGACCCCTTCCCAGGGGTCTTTGAGGCCAGGTGATTGAGGATGTCTGCCAGAGGCATGGATTCCTTCAGCCACTACCCTCTGGGGAAGAATCACGGAGTCTGGAGTACATTTCTAACATTTGTTTGCCCTCTGGCCTTCCAGGTCTGGGACCAGCAGCGCTGGCTACCCCCAGCCCAAGCAGACCCAGTGAGCTGGGGAGCCCCTGTTTTCTTCCACTCTGGAGGAATGGCTTCATGCTGCAGTCTCCAGCCCAGAAACTGGTTCCTAGTGCCGCCCAGATTGGCAGCGAAAATCTGGGGCCGAAAGTGAACTCCCCAGAGCTCTGTTCCCATTTGAGAAAGGGAATTGAATCCTGGCTGGAGCAGGCCCACAGTGGACCATTTCCCCTTTGGATGATTCAAATCAGCAAGCTGTAGCCCGTGAGCCCCCCTAGCAGCAGGGGAACGGGGGAGGGCAGGCAGCTGGGCGTGACTTCCCCTCCTCCCTTCTGGGCCTTGCTTGCGAGCAGCTCTGTTCTTATTCTATTTCATGAGACCGTTGCTTTCATTCGAACAAAAGGTCCCATTGTGAGTAAACTGAAAAGACCACTGCCCTGAGAAACAAGCGGCACAACCAGCAAGACTCTTGCTTTCCTCGGAGGAAGGAACAGGCTTTTAATGGGCTTTGCAGTCTGGCTGGGCTCCGGTCCGCCTGTGCCCTCCTGCGCCACCAGGGAGCCTCAGTTTCCTTGGAGGGACAGTGACCACTGGCAAGGGAGGTGGGATTCTATAAGCGACGTCACCCCTGTTTTCCCCATTTTTAGGGAAGCGGACACAGGTTTGCATAGGAAGCCAGCACCTGGTCGGGGAGGGATAACAGTTCCTGACAAGTTACACATAGATTATAAAATCTCAGGCTATACCTGGCCTGTCAGTTATAGTCCTTGCCTAGCCACATATGTTCAGGATTCCACAAATGTTTAATTTTTCATTTTCTTTAATAACTGTACTGTTGACCAACCTAAGCTTGGTAAATACCAGGCTGAAGCTAAGTTGCGCTGGCTTTTGGCACCCAAGCCTCCAAGCCTTCCTCTCTTTGTCTCTATAATATGAGGCTTTATTACAGCTGTGCTTGTCACTGGTGGGAACAGTTCCCCACCCCGAAACAACAAAGAAGCAAAACGCAATTAAATAGACCACTGCACACATGCAGCTGTACAGGCTGTGGTGTTGCCTCTGGGGACTGGGGACCACCATGAGGCTGCAGGCATTTTCATCCATCAGCGAATGGAAGGAAGACTGAATTTAGTGCACGGATGATCATTTAAGTATAAAGAGGTTATAGGTTGTTTGTTTGAATACCAAATCTCTAGTTGCTCAGGATCCACTTGTAAGAGAGCTCCAAGTAGGGGCCCAATGAGCCATGTTTTTGCTTTAACATGGGGCTGTTCCAACAGTAGCAGGCAGTTAGTTACAACCAGGAGCACATTTTTCTCAGAAGACCCATAAACAGCTCTTGCTTCCTAGGCTAGCCCACTACTGGGCTCCAGTGTAGAGAGGAACCTAACACCCACTGGCTTTGCTGATTGCAATTCCTGCTCCACACCCCAAGCAGGCTCACACGGTGTTGCGAGGAGGTGGGGAGAACTGGGTCCTCTTAGACCAATCACAGCAGGCAAGGTCTGCAAGGAGGAGCTGGAATCACTTATATATTGAACCAATATTTATTGTGATTGAATGCAGGCTCTTTCATAGGACACCCTAGGTTCAGACTCTGGCTTTGCCACTTACTAGCTCTGTGACCTTAGGCGAGTTTCTTAACCTCTCTGGAACATTTTTTTTAATCTACAAAATGGGGATACTAATAGTACCTACCTCATGAGGCAGTTGTAACAATTAAACAAAGTAGTAGACCAGGCATGATGGCTCATGCCTGTAATCCCAGCACCTTGGGAGGTGGAGGCCGGTGGATCACTTGAGGCCAGGAGCTTGAGACTAGCCTGGCCAACATGGCAAAACCCCGTCTCTACTAAAAATACAAAAACTAGCAGGCCATGGTAGTGAGCACCTGTAATCTCAGCTACTAGGAAGGCCGAGGCAGGAGAATCACTTGAACCCAGGAGGCAGAGGTTTCAGTGAGCTGAGATCGTGCCACTGCACTCCAGCCTGGGCGACAGAGTGAGACTCTGTCTCAAAAAAAAAAAAAAAAAAAAAAAAAAAAAGAAAAAAAAGTAAAATAGACATCATTATATACATTTTTTCTATATACAAATATAGAAAAGAAAATATATTTAAAAGGAAAGGGGCATTAATAATTATGCCACCCAGAGATAGGCACCGTCAGCATTTCTTTCAGTCTGTCCTCTCAGCATGCAAGCACACTTGAATTATGCTGTTTATATACTTCTGTGCCCTCTCTTTTCTACCTAACAGGTCTTGAGTGCTTTATAAGCATTCAGTATAAATATAACTTTCA
Source organism: Homo sapiens (assembly GCF_000001405.40). Lineage (NCBI taxonomy): Eukaryota > Metazoa > Chordata > Mammalia > Primates > Hominidae > Homo > Homo sapiens. Next base: position 108,636,531 of record NC_000012.12, on the reverse strand, counting down.
TGCCTGCGTCACATTCCATCAAGGGACAGGTTTCTGTAGTAGGGGAGTCTGTGTTTTTTCCCAATATTTCTCTCACCTCAGATATCATTGCTTCAATCTTGGAAGGCAACTTGGAGTATTTTTCTTGGGCTTCATTCCTAGAAGCAGAAACATATTCACTTTGAGTCTTTGACTCTCACAGATGTCAGGTGCGGTGAAGTGTGGTTTTATGGTCTTCACACAGACGACATACACCAGATTTATCTTAGCAATATTTGCTCCTCTGAGAAGGAAATTTCACTGCTCAAGTCTCACCTTGAAATAGATTACTTGGAGCTGGGCGTGGTGGTGTGCTCCTGTAACAGCTACTGGGGAGGCTGAGGCAGGAGGATTGCTTGCTTGAGACCAGGAGTTTGAGGCTGCAGTGAGCTATGACCACGCCACTGCACTCCAGATTAGGCCACAGAGCAAGACCCTATTACACACACACAGAAGAAATAGCTTACCTGCTGCTAAGCTACTCCTTTTTCCTTACATATAGTAATTGCTGATGTGCTGGAGCTCACCGTTCAGCCTGCACCATCCCAGGCTAGGGGTTAAGATCAAGAACATTATTTCATGTGCCTGGACTTGAGTCCTGGCTCTGCCATTACTCTGTGTGCCCTTGAGCAAGGCACATTCTCCCTCTCAGCTTCAGTTTCCTCATTTCTAAAGGCAGCTTCGAGGATTATATGAGCTGATGTATGCAAAGCACCTACCACAGGGTCTGGCATTGACCACAGGCTCAGGAAACGTTAAGCGTTTGTGTTGTGAGGCTTTGCAGGTGATGAAACTATTCAACTCTGCCGCTGCAACGTGAAAGCAGCCAGAGACAATATGTTTACACCAATTAGTGTGGCTGTGTCCCAAGAAAACTTTATGAAAACGGAATCTCGAATTTCGCACAGTTTTTATGCATCACAAAACATTTTCCAACCACTTAAAAATGTAACCACCATTCTTAGCTCACAAGCTGCACAAAACCACGTGGCAGGCTGGATGTGACAGACAGCTTGCAACCACTCACCTCCGCTAATCAGAGAGTGACCTGCAGGCAGTCTTGGGTGTGTTTAGAGTTTCTCAGTCCCCTGTCCCTGAAGGATGGCTATTTCCAAACCTGCTGGGGAAGGGTGAGGGGCCTGGGTTCTAGGGGTCTCACTTCCCCTCTTGTGGCTTCAGTTTCCCTGTCCGTGCCGGCAGGGTGAGCTTTTGGCTGTTTCCAGCTGCAGCTTCTTAAGGTGGCTGAGACTGTGTCATGGCGAACACCTGCTGGGTCTCTGGTTTTCATTTTAAAACAACCTGTGTGCGGCTGGGCACGGTGGCTCACGCCTGTAATCCCAGCACTTTGGGAGGCCGAGGCAGGTGGATCACCTGAGGTCGAGAGTTCAAGACCAACCAGCCTGACAAACGTGGAGAAACCCCATCTCTACTATAAATACAAAATTAGCCGGGGTGGTGGCACATGCCTGTAATCCCAGATACTCGGGAGGCTGAGGCAGAAGAATAGCTTGAACCCGGGAGGCGGAGGTTGCGGTGAGCCGAGATTGTGCCATTGCACTCCAGCCTGGGCAAAAAGAGTGAAACTCCATCTCAAAAAAAAAAAAAAAAAACAACTTTGTGCAAGGCAAGATATGAGTATCTTTCTGTGCATGTCCTGAGCCCTTGCCTGGTGCAAAGCCGCAGGGCAGATCCTGGGAGACCCCCCTATTCCCTCCCTTCTGGAAGTGTCTGGGTATTCTTAGGCCTCCCAGCCTTTGCCTCTGCTGTGCTCTCTGCCTGGGATGCCCACCTGGCTTGTCATCTCAAGTGCCACTTCTTGGAAGCTCCTCCTGTTAACCTCCCTCCCCCACCCAGGATGGAAGGAGAGGCCCCTCCCTTGCTCACCGCAGGATGGCACTCACTGCGCTGTGTCATTGTGGCATGATGTTCCACCGAATTGTTTACTCGCTGGCCTCCCCATTGGATGGAGGGCTACCAGAGGGCCACAGCCCAGAATTGCTGGCCTTTAGACCTCAGGGCATGCAGTCTGGAGTGCCAGAGTTGGTCAAATGAACAAATTTAGGATGAAGAAATAAGATAAGCAGGACTTGCCCTTGTGGTATCTGTAGTCCAGCTCCCTAGAGAGGCTCTTGGTTGCAGCTGAAAGGGCCTGTGCTGTGCATCTACAGAGAGTGTTTTGAGTCCTGCGAGAAGAAATACACCATATTTGCAAACCCTTTGAAGGTTCATATTTTGTGTTTTTTGCTCCCTGACCACCTCCCACCCCTCCCCACGCCCCACCAATCTTGGGCAAGAAGCGAGACCATTCTCCTTTTTCTCTGGTCACTCCTGTCCTTCAGGGGGCTCCCTCTGGCCCCGACTGTCCATTGCTGCTGAAGTAATGCTGTGGCCTTTCTCAGTTTGGGCCCCACCCAAAACCGAAGAACTTCTCCCCAGAAAGCTTCTACTTGGTTCTCAGTGTTTTCACAGTTATGGGAACCCAAGAACAGTGTCAGACCTAGGAGGTGCCCCACTACCACCCTGTCTTTATCAATGTTGTCACCAAAGCTGTCACAAACAATGGGGTGTGGGCTGTCACATGGCCCTGCCTAAGTAACCACATTCTCGCTTCCTCCTTCCACACACAGCCATTGGGGGTTGCTCGGATCCGGGACTGCCGCAGGGGGTGCCACAGCAGTGCCTGGCAGCGTGGGCTGGGACCTTGTCACTAAAGCAGAGAAGCCACTTCTTCTGGGCCCACGAGGCAGCTGTCCCATGCTCTGCTGAGCACGGTGGTAAGTGCTGGCTTGCAAAACCACAGGGAGTGGCTGGAGGTCCCCATGGGCCAAGGGCCTGCCTTATAGCTGCTGGCAGGCCCGGGTAGGACCGCCAGGCCCTTCTTGAGCTGCAGCACCTGGGGAGGGCAAACTGAGGCTCCTCCGACTCAAGACTAAAGTCTTCCTGGAGTCTGTGGCCTTATTCTGTGACTCTTCTGAATCCTGCTCCTGCCAACTTTTTTTTTCCTTCTTTTTTTGAGACAGGGTCTTACTCTGTCACCCAGGCTGGAGTGCAGTGGCACAATCATGGCTCACTGCAGCCTTAAACTCCTGGGCACAAGTGATCCTCCCACCTCAGCCTCCTGAGTAGCTGGGACTACAGGCGCACATCGCCGCATGCAGCTAATATTTTTACCTTTCCTAGAGATGGGGTCTCACTTTGATGCCGAGGCTGGTCTCAAACTCCTGGCCTCAAGCCTCTTGCGTTGGCCTCCCAAAGTGCTGAAATTACAGGTGTGACCCACCAGCCCCAGCCTCCCATTAACTTACTTCCCTCCCTGGCCAGTTTGCCTGCAGCGTCTGGCTTGGCGGCATTCTGATTTTGAAAATCAGAGAAACCATGAGTGTTTCCCTAGAAATGATCTTATCCTCTCCTTTCCTGGATGGGAAACTGAGGTCGGGAGAGGTGAAGGGATTTGTTTAGGGGCAGAGCTGAGATTAGGTCTGGAAGACTCCAGAAAGTAGGGGGAGTGCAGGATTTCTCTTGAAGCTGCATGTTATGGACGCATAAAAAAGTTCTTTTCAGAGAAAGATGCATTCTTCCCACTTTTTATAAGACTGAGGAAATGACACTTGTCTGTGGCAAACTATTAAAATATTAGAATTAAGATACTATTGTTAGCAAAAGGGAAAACAATAATAATAATAATAATTAGAATATTTGGCTGGGTGCAGTGGCTTACACCTGTAATCCCAGCCCTTTGGGAGGCCGAGGCAGGTGGTTGGCCTGAGCTCAGGAGTTCTAGACCAACCTGGGCAACATGGTGAAACCTCGTCTCTACCAAAAATACAAAAACTTAGCTAGGTGTAGTGGTGTATGCCTGTGGTCTCAGCTACTTGGGAGGCTGAGGTGGGAGGATCACTTGAACCTGGGAGGGGGAGGTCGCAGTAAGCCGAGATTGTGCCACTGCACTCCAACCCGGGTGGCAGAGTGAGACCCTGTCTCAAAAAAAAAAAAATTAGAATACTCTTATTAGTTTGTATTTGAGATACTTTCAGGACACTAAAAGGAAATGGTGGGGGCCAGTTGTGCCCTGCTGTACACACATTCACACACACACACACACACACACACACACACACACACACCCCATATTGTCGATATCTGGGCTTCTGTTGCCTGGAATTCTCTTCCTCTTTCCTCTTTCTTCTGTTTTCCTTTTTTTTCCATCTCTGACTTTGAGGCCCCCAGAGCCAGGCCCCTCAGTGGGCCGGGGCCTCAGAAGGTGGCTCCCAGGCCCTCAGACAGCCCCAGAGTCTCTTCCGAGGCCGTGCCCTGGGTGGTTGATGCCTCCCTCAGCAGGCTTGGCCAGCAGCCAGGGGAGTTAAACCTCAGAGAGCGGAAGGGCTGGGTTGCTAGGCTGGGCCCAGAGTGGGGCATTCAGAGGAGCTGGGGAATCAATCATCCGAGAACCTTGGAGGGTGGACAGTGCCCCTTTTACAGATGAGAAAACTGAGGCTTGAAGGGGAGAAGCAGCTGCCTCTGGCGGCATGGCTTCTGGCTGCAGGATGCCCATGGAGTTCGTGGTGACCCTAGGCCTGTGTCTCGGCTTCCTTTGCTGAACTTGAACAGGAAGATGGCAGTGGGGGCCAGTGGTCTAGAAGGAGATAAGATGGCTGGTGTGTGTGTGTTGGGGGTCTGTGTTTGTTAATCTGTCTGTCTACACAGGGGTGTTTAGAAAACTGTTTAAAGACAGTTGTTCAACTAACCAGATGTAGGTCTCATTGAATTCATTTGTGCCAAGTACCTTACTGCCTCTGGATCAGGCCAGCAAGTTTGGGTTCCAACAGGTGTAACTTGGTTCTTGGTGGGGTGGAGGGTAGGGAGGGGGGTGTAACAAAAAAATCTCAACTAACACTGTGGTTTGCAAGCCACCAAACATTAAACAGATATACAGCATATCTGTGCTATTAACTTTTCATGAGGAGGGCTGGTCACCGTGGCTCATGCCTATAAATCCCAGCACTTTGGGAGGCTGAAGCAGATGGATTGCTTGAGCCCAGGAGTTTGAGACCAACCTGGGCAACATGGGGAAAACCCATCTCTACAAAAAATTTAAAAGTAGCCGGGTCTGGTGGCATGCACCTGTAGTCCTAGCTACTTGGGAGGATCGCTTGAGCCCAGGAGTTCAAGCCTGCAGTGAGCTATGATTGCACCACTGTAGTCGAGCCTGGGCAACAGAGAAAGACCCTATCTCTAAAATTAAATAAATAAATAAACCTTTCATAAGGGCGATGATAAGTGGGAAAAAATGTCTACAGAGACTCCCTGATGTGAGTTGAGGTAGATGACGGAAAGAGGTTGCAAAGTGTCAGCTGGCAAATGTGGTGTGAAAAGTGTGAAGACAGCACGTGCTGTGCAGTTCTGTGCACGTTCCCCTGCCTCAGTCACATGTCCTCTTCTGCAGAGGCATTTAGTGAGGCCCCTGGGGATGCCAGGAGACCCAGGAGAGCTCCTGCCCTCCAAAAACTTGTGGTCTGGTGGGGGCAGCAGAGCAGACAGCCACAGTGGTTGCCAGCCACTGGGGCGAGTGTTGCGAGGGGTGTGTGCCTGCCCATCGGCTGAATCCTGGGCCTGTGGCCTGATCAGCAAGACAGCTGTGGTTCCTGCCTTCTGGAAGTTTAGGAGTCAATGTGAATACATTTTTAGAAAATAAATGAACAGCAGAAATGATTTAAACACGGGAGGTGACTAATCGTGCCTGGGGCAATCTGGAAAGGCTTCTGGGAGGACTCAGCATTTCCCTGGCCCTCTTCAACCCACAACAACCCCATAAAAAGCGGGTGCTACCATTGTCCTTGTATTCCAGCTAAGGAACCCACAGCTCAGAGAGGTGAGGTGAGTTGCCCCAGGTCACACAGCTTCTAAGGGACAGAGCTGGGGATTGACCTGGTTTGATGTGACTCCCAGGGCACAGCAGGGCAGGGCAGGGCCTGTCCTGTCTACCCAGACTTAGATCTGCTGCCTGTGCCTCAGTTATCTGGGGTCTTTCCTTCTCTTGGTGACTACTTGACCCAAACCCTGAGATGCTCAGTCTTTTGAATTTTAGCATTCCAAGATCCTGCCCGCTCTGACCACCAGTTTCAGGATTCTCAGTGCAAGGTTCCTAGCGGCGTGGAGCCCCACGAGGATCTTTCCTGAGCAGCTCAGGGCGGCCACACGGCGGGTTCTCTGGAGCTGGAGTCTGGGCCCCCTGCAGCCTGCTCCTCCACACAGCCTAGATGGGGCCCATATGGGGTCTAGATGGGGCCTGGGCCAGAAGCAGCCTGGTTTTAGGGCGAAAGAGGCAAACGAGCAGTCTCTGACCTACTCTGTTAGGCAAGTGTTGAGACAAATAGGACGTGGTCACTGGAGACGCCTCTGTCGGAGCCCTGCCCTGGCCCCACTTCTGTGGGACTGTTTTTTGGCCTTCCAGGAAGAGGAGAGGTGGAAGGTGGGGCCTGGGAGTGATCCCGCCGCTCCGGGCCTTGCTTGCTAATCAGTGTGATGGCACCGTTAGAGCCAGTGAACACAGGGGTGAGGAGGAATGAGGTCACCAGATAGTGAGAGGATGAAATCATCCCTCCGTGGGAGGGGCTTCCACATATGTCATTTTTATTGTTGTATAATACATTTACTGTAGCAAATATTAAGGAGGTATTATGCTACCTGCCATACACGGTGAGAAAACTCAGCTCCTCCCCCTTCTACCTGTGTGGCCTCAGCTGAGACAAGATCTCTCAGAGCCTCGGGTTTTCTTTTCTTTCATTAAAAAAAATATGTTTTTTTCTTAGAGACAGGGTCTTACTCTGTCACCCAGGCTGGAGTGCAGTGGTGCGATCATAGCTCACTGCAGCCTTGACCTGGGCTCAAGCCATCCTCTGGCCTCAGCCTCCCGAGTAGCTGGGACTACAGGCATCACCAGCATACCTGGCTAATTTTTAATTTTTTTGTAGATATGGGTCTCAGTATGTTGCCCAGGCTGGTCTTGAACCCCTGCCTTCAAGTCATCCTCCTGCCTTGGCCTCCCAAAGTGCTAGGAGTACAAGCTCGAGGCACCGTGCCTGGCTGAGCCTCAGATTTTCTTTCTGTTAGATGGGCTGATGCCTGCTCAGCTGTGGCCTGGCTCCAGGCTGCTGTGTCTTAAAGCCAGTGGGATGGCAGGGACCAGGCTGGGGTGACCAACAACCCCCCACCCCCAGTTTGCCTGGGAGTGAGGGGTTTCTGGGGTTGAGGGACTTTCAGCACTGACACCAGGAACATGTAGGATAAGGTGGTTGCTTTAGACGGGCCCAGGAAAGGAGGTCTGGGCTTTCCGAATGTACCAGGTCTTATCATAACAGGTACGGAGGTCTCTGCTTTCTCAAAGCCCAAACACCCACAGGGGAGGTAGAGAGGCCGCCATCTCCATACCCTCTGAGTCTGAGACCTCCATTTCCTCTGCTCATCTGCCTGCAGCGCCGAAGAGAGTCCTCCAGATAAAGTACCCCCGGCTGGAAGCCAGCGTCTGGGAACTTCCATACACTCATTCAATTCTCATGATGATTTTTTTTAAGCAATATTGCCGGTTTTACAATGAGGAAACTGAGGCTTAGAGAGGGTGAAGCAACCTGCCCGAGTTTACACAGCCGCTAAGTGGGGGCAAATGTGGGATTCAGGCCCCAGCCTCTCCTCCACCCCAGCTGTCTCTGGGTGCAGGAGGCTGTGGGGATGGCTGTAGGGGAAGGGTGGGCAACAGTGACAGCCTACCTGAAGAACTGGGCCCCAGCACCCTCCGTGTTTCTGTGTTATTCTCCCAGCCTCCGGCCTGCTGCAAGTCCGGCCCTGACTCACCAAGATGCCTCCCCCAACCCGGGAACCAGGGAGACCAGGCCTTGCAACTTTGCCCCCACCTTCTCTGCTTCCAGGAAGTGGCTGAGGGCTTTGCCTTCCAGGAACAGAGAACTGCCCAAGTGGGGGTTGGTAGCTGTGAGTGTGCTCATAAGTATGAAATATGTCTCTAGGCTAATGGCTTCTTCCTAAAGTCCCTGCCTCCAGGAAAGTGGGGCCAAGGTTGGGCCGTAGATTCTTCCCCCAGATAAGAACTCTACCCCAAAGAAATTCTGCTGCCCTGAAGGCAAATTGGGAGGCAAAAGTGTGTGTGTGTGTGTGTGTGTGTGTGTGTGTGTGTGTGTGTGTGTTACATTTATTAAGCACCTACTGTAAGCTTGGAACTTTTGTTTTCTTGTTTTGTTTTGAGACAGGGTCTCACTCTGTCGCCCAGGCTGGAGTGCAGTGGTACAATCTCGGCTCACTGCAGTCTCAACCTTCCAGGCTTAAGCGATCCTCCCACATTAGCCTCCCCAGTAGCTGAGACGATAGGTGTGCATCATCATGCCTGGCTAATTTTTCTATTTAAAATTTTTTTATTTTATTTTTGAGGCAGGGTCTTGCTTTGTCACCCAGGCTGGGGTGCAGTGGCATGATCACAGCTCACTGCAGCCTCAATCTCTCCAGGCTCAAGCAATTCTCCCATCTCCGCCTCCTGAGTAGCTGGGACTACAGGGGCACACCACCACTCCTGGCTAATTTTTTGTATTTTGTAGAGACGAGAGACAGGGCTTCACCATGTTGCCCAGGCTGGTCTGGAACTCCTGAGCTCAAGCAATCCACCTGCCTTGGCCTCCCAAAGTCCTCGGATTACAGGAGTGAGCCACCGTGACTGGCCTAATTTTTCTATTTGTGTCGAGATGGGGATCTCACTATGTTGCCCGGGCTGGTCTTGAACTCATGGGCTCAAGTGATCTGCCTGCCTTGGCTTCCCAAAGTCCTGGGATTACAGGCATGAGCCACCATGCCCACCAGCCTGGAACTTTTGAATCTATCCCCTTGTTGCACTGTCTCAACAGCCCTGTGAGATGGGCACTGTTTCTTATCCCAATTTTACAGATGGGAAAACTGAAGCTCAGGGAGGCAAGCATCTGTGTCAAGGTCATACAGCTTGTAAGGGACAGAGCTAGGACTTGAACATCCTTTTTGTCTGACCCCACATCTATGCTTTCAACCCTATGCCCTGCATGGCACCCGGTAAATATGTGGCAGGCCTTTCTGGGGGACATAACTTTCAAGCTCCTCCTTTTTCTTACTCTGCCCTCCCTCTCCCACCCAAGTCCACAAGCCCAGCCTTCTGTCTCCTCAACTAGGTCAGGTGTCTCCTGACGGCCTCATGCCTTCCTGAACCTCACTGGGTTTCAGTCTGATCTTGACCTCTCACCAGCTGTGTGTCTTTGGGCAAGTCACTTCACTTCTCTTAACCTCAGTGTGGTCCTTGGTAAAATGGGGATAATTGTGAGGGCCAGATGTCTCTGGTGCAAATATCGTAAAGTTTGGTTTAAGAAAGTATTTTTTTATTTTTTAGACAGAGTTTTGCTCTTGTCTCCCAGACTGGAGTGCAGTGGTGTGATCTTGGCTCACTGCAACCTCTGGCTCCCAGGTTCAAGCAATTCTCCTGCCTTGGCCTCCCAAATAGCTGGAATTACAGGGAGCACCACCACGCCCGGCTAATTTTTGTATTTTTAGTAGAGACAGGGTTTCACCATGTTGGCCGGACTAGTCTTGAACTCCTGACATCAGGTAAGCCACCTGCCTTGGCTTCTCAAACAGTTGGGATTACAGGCGTGAGCCACTGCACCTGGCCTAAGAAATTATTTTAAGATGTGGGTCGGGTGTGGTGGCTCATGCCTATAATCTCAGTGCTTTGAGAGGCCGAGGCAGGAGGATTGCTTGAGGCCAGGAGTTTGAGACCAGCCTGGACAACAGCAAGACCCCGTCTCTACAAAAAAAAAAAAATTAAAAATTAACCAGATGTGGTGGCATGTGCATATAGTCCCTACTACTCAGGAGGCTGAGGTGAGAGAATCACTTGAGCCTAGGAGGTCGAAGCTGCAGTGAGCTATAATTGCACTACTGCACTCCAGACTGGGCGACAAAGTGAGAATCTGTCTCTAATATAAGTAAGTCAATAAATAAATGGAAATAAATTAGTTTAAGATATGATCAGATTTGCATATTTGAAACCAACATAGGCCTGGCACGGTGGCCCACGCCCTGTAATCCCAGCACTTTGGGAGGCCGAGGTGGGCAGATTGCTTGTGGTCAGGAGTTTGAGACCAGCCTGACCAACATGGCGAAACCCCGTCTCTACTAAAAATACAAAAATTAGCTGGGCATAGTTGTGTGCGCCTGTAGTCCCAGCTACTTGGGAGGCTGAGGAAGGAGAATTGCTTGAACCCGGGAGGCGGAGGTTGCAGTGAGCCAAGGTCGTGCCACTGCACTCCATCCTGGGCAACAGAGCGAGACTCTGTCTTGGAGAAAAAAAAAAAAAAAAAAAAGAAAAGAAACCAACATAATTCTAACTAACATATGAAAGAGATCAGATTGAACCTGGCTGGAAGGTGAGGGGCCCGTGAGTGAGTTACAGTCACCCGAGGAATGATGAGCAACTGTTCGTTCCTCCAAATCATGTGAATGAAGTACAAAGGAAGAGACTGGAAATTGTCCGGGTGCTATTCTTGAATGCCCACTCTGCATCAGACACTATTCTAAAAGTTGTGTGCTGCTGAAGGGTGTTATATCCAGGGAATGCAGGAATACCTGAATCCTGCCCCAGAACGTGGCTGTCACTCACCATAGGATTCTCAGCATAGAATTTTTAATTCTGTAAACACCAGCCAGTGCCAAGGAGAGCATGAGGGGAGAGAAAGAAAACAAGAAAGCACAGGTGTTCACAATGCCAAGAAGAAAGATCAATGAGATGACCAAACAAGAGGCACTGTCTTTTCTGGCTACCTAGTAGGGAGGACAATGTAGAGTCTCTGAATAGACAGTGGTCCTACCCACAGGCACACTCAGTGACTATAAGCTTCCTGAGAGCAGGGCTGTTCTGAAGAGATTTGAGTTTTCTCCTGGCCATGGAGAGTGTAATTAAGTAGCCCTGGGCCCTTGAAGACTTATAGTGCAGGTTGACTGAAAGAACTAAATCAGCCAGTCTTTGCGGAGAGGTTGTCATGCAAACGAAGTGCTAAGGGTCTTGCATGCATCCCTTCATTTTATCCTCACAATAGGCTGTGAAGTAGGCACCGTCATCCCTGTTGTGCATTGTGCAGGCAAGAACACCACCAAAGCAAATGGGACCAAGACAAGACATTGAGAAGGAATGAGACAAACTGAGACTCTGAGGACTGGCAAGGGCTATGGAGGGTGGAAGCAAGATAGGAGAAGGAGGAAGACAGACATATAGAGGTGGCATGGCAGTGGGCAGGGAGAGGGGGCAGCAGGTAGAATCAGACTCCAAGAGGCCTCAAAGGTCCAATAAGCAGCGGTATCTGGGAGGTCTGTGGTTTACAAACTCTTCTGCTTATGGACTTCGTAAGTGGTCAATTAATCTATTTATGAATTCTGTGCAGGTACTACTTTACTCTTATGATAGATTATAAATAATGTAATACTTGAAATTAAGAAGGAGTGACATGAGGTCGGGCGCAGTGGCTCATGCCTAATCCCAGAACTGTGGAAGGCCAAGGTGGGCAGATAACTTGAGGCCAGGAGTTTGAGACCAGCCTGGCCAACATAGTGAAACCCCGTCTCTACTAAAAATACACAAATTAGCTGGGTGTGGTTGTGCATGCCTGTAATCCCAGCTTCTCAGGAGGCTGAGACAGGAGAATCACTTGAACCCGGGAGGTGGAGGTTGCAGTGAGCTGAGATAGCGCCACTGTACTCCAGCCTGGGTGACAGAGCAAGACTCCATCTAAAAAAAAAAAAAAAGAAAAAAGGAGTGACATGAAAAGTTAATAGAACTAGAAGCAGAAGCACTAAATCTTTCTACACCCCAGTGGATTGTCTTGTCCACAAATAAAGTGGCTTAACCAAAATGGAGAGGGAGGCAAATCAATTTCTATGCACCATCTAGAAGAAGTTAAAGGGCCCTCCTGGATGGCTTTATTCATGTTGATGAGTAATAATAATAACTGCTACTGGCTGAGGATCTTCTCCATCCCAGGCATGTCAGGGATGCCTAAGTCCCCAGTCCCTGCTCCAGACCAGACATGCTTCCAGCTGTGGCAGTAGAGGGTGGTGGTCTAGGGTGCTTGCTAAGCCCAAGGGTGAAACTGTCTTGACATCCCTCCGCCCATTGTCTCCTCCTAGGTGCCATGCCTCTGCAACTCCTCCTGTTGCTGATCCTACTGGGCCCTGGCAACAGCTTGCAGCTGTGGGACACCTGGGCAGATGAAGCCGAGAAAGCCTTGGGTCCCCTGCTTGCCCGGGACCGGAGACAGGCCACCGAATATGAGTACCTAGATTATGATTTCCTGCCAGAAACGGAGCCTCCAGAAATGCTGAGGAACAGCACTGACACCACTCCTCTGACTGGGCCTGGAACCCCTGAGTCTACCACTGTGGAGCCTGCTGCAAGGCGTTCTACTGGCCTGGATGCAGGAGGGGCAGTCACAGAGCTGACCACGGAGCTGGCCAACATGGGGAACCTGTCCACGGATTCAGCAGCTATGGAGATACAGACCACTCAACCAGCAGCCACGGAGGCACAGACCACTCAACCAGTGCCCACGGAGGCACAGACCACTCCACTGGCAGCCACAGAGGCACAGACAACTCGACTGACGGCCACGGAGGCACAGACCACTCCACTGGCAGCCACAGAGGCACAGACCACTCCACCAGCAGCCACGGAAGCACAGACCACTCAACCCACAGGCCTGGAGGCACAGACCACTGCACCAGCAGCCATGGAGGCACAGACCACTGCACCAGCAGCCATGGAAGCACAGACCACTCCACCAGCAGCCATGGAGGCACAGACCACTCAAACCACAGCCATGGAGGCACAGACCACTGCACCAGAAGCCACGGAGGCACAGACCACTCAACCCACAGCCACGGAGGCACAGACCACTCCACTGGCAGCCATGGAGGCCCTGTCCACAGAACCCAGTGCCACAGAGGCCCTGTCCATGGAACCTACTACCAAAAGAGGTCTGTTCATACCCTTTTCTGTGTCCTCTGTTACTCACAAGGGCATTCCCATGGCAGCCAGCAATTTGTCCGTCAACTACCCAGTGGGGGCCCCAGACCACATCTCTGTGAAGCAGTGCCTGCTGGCCATCCTAATCTTGGCGCTGGTGGCCACTATCTTCTTCGTGTGCACTGTGGTGCTGGCGGTCCGCCTCTCCCGCAAGGGCCACATGTACCCCGTGCGTAATTACTCCCCCACCGAGATGGTCTGCATCTCATCCCTGTTGCCTGATGGGGGTGAGGGGCCCTCTGCCACAGCCAATGGGGGCCTGTCCAAGGCCAAGAGCCCGGGCCTGACGCCAGAGCCCAGGGAGGACCGTGAGGGGGATGACCTCACCCTGCACAGCTTCCTCCCTTAGCTCACTCTGCCATCTGTTTTGGCAAGACCCCACCTCCACGGGCTCTCCTGGGCCACCCCTGAGTGCCCAGACCCCATTCCACAGCTCTGGGCTTCCTCGGAGACCCCTGGGGATGGGGATCTTCAGGGAAGGAACTCTGGCCACCCAAACAGGACAAGAGCAGCCTGGGGCCAAGCAGACGGGCAAGTGGAGCCACCTCTTTCCTCCCTCCGCGGATGAAGCCCAGCCACATTTCAGCCGAGGTCCAAGGCAGGAGGCCATTTACTTGAGACAGATTCTCTCCTTTTTCCTGTCCCCCATCTTCTCTGGGTCCCTCTAACATCTCCCATGGCTCTCCCCGCTTCTCCTGGTCACTGGAGTCTCCTCCCCATGTACCCAAGGAAGATGGAGCTCCCCCATCCCACACGCACTGCACTGCCATTGTCTTTTGGTTGCCATGGTCACCAAACAGGAAGTGGACATTCTAAGGGAGGAGTACTGAAGAGTGACGGACTTCTGAGGCTGTTTCCTGCTGCTCCTCTGACTTGGGGCAGCTTGGGTCTTCTTGGGCACCTCTCTGGGAAAACCCAGGGTGAGGTTCAGCCTGTGAGGGCTGGGATGGGTTTCGTGGGCCCAAGGGCAGACCTTTCTTTGGGACTGTGTGGACCAAGGAGCTTCCATCTAGTGACAAGTGACCCCCAGCTATCGCCTCTTGCCTTCCCCTGTGGCCACTTTCCAGGGTGGACTCTGTCTTGTTCACTGCAGTATCCCAACTGCAGGTCCAGTGCAGGCAATAAATATGTGATGGACAAACGATAGCGGAATCCTTCAAGGTTTCAAGGCTGTCTCCTTCAGGCAGCCTTCCCGGAATTCTCCATCCCTCAGTGCAGGATGGGGGCTGGTCCTCAGCTGTCTGCCCTCAGCCCCTGGCCCCCCAGGAAGCCTCTTTCATGGGCTGTTAGGTTGACTTCAGTTTTGCCTCTTGGACAACAGGGGGTCTTGTACATCCTTGGGTGACCAGGAAAAGTTCAGGCTATGGGGGGCCAAAGGGAGGGCTGCCCCTTCCCCACCAGTGACCACTTTATTCCACTTCCTCCATTACCCAGTTTTGGCCCACAGAGTTTGGTCCCCCCCAAACCTCGGACCAATATCCCTCTAAACATCAATCTATCCTCCTGTTAAAGAAAAAAAAAAATGGGACTGGGAGCAGTGGCTCATGCCTGTAATCCCAGCACTTTGGGAGGCCGAGGCAGGTACATCACCTGAGGTCAGGAGTTCAAGACTAGCCTGGCCAACATAGTGAAACCCTGTCTCTACTAAAAATACAAAGATTAGTCAGGTGTGGTGGCACATGCCTGTAGTCCCAGCTACTGGGGAGGCTGAGGCAGGAGAATTGCTTGAACCCGGGAAGCGGAGGGAGGTTGCAGTGAGCTGAGATCACGCTACTGCACTCCAGCCTGGGTGACAGAGTAAGACTCCGTCTCAAAAAAAAAAAAAAAGATTCAATGACCCTTGTTAAAGCATGGTAAGGAAGACTTTGTTCAAGGGGAGTGGGACTCTCTCAATCACTGCAGGGACTGCAGCTATGGGATTTTGCAGTGGGGGCATTTGGGCTCAACTATGAGTACAGCAGGGGCAAGTGGGAGCTGATAGCCAGGGAACAGGGTTGGATATCTGCAGCTGGAAAATTACCAAGAGGAAACATCAGGGGAAGGGGAATTCTGGCTAAACTGACTGCTGGGGATGGGTTCTCGGTCATTTTCTACACTGACCTAACAGGATTCATACTGGAGGCAGGCCAGGGTGCTCAGACATCACCGGGGGGATGGTGGCAGATGAGGAACGTGATCAGATATAGGAGGTGATCAGATATGGGAGGTGATCAGATATGGAGTGGTGGGGGGAGGGTTGTTGCTAAGCTGACTTAGCAGAGTTCTTGTTAGAACTGGATTTTATTTATTTATTTATTTTGAGATGGAGTTTTGCTCTTGTTGCCCAGGCTGGAGTGCAATGGCGCGATCTGGCTCACTGCAACCTCCGCCTCCTGAGTTCAAGTGATTCTCCTGCCTCAGCCTCCTGAGTAGCTGGGATTACAGGCATGCGCCACCACGCCCAGCTAATTTTGTATTTTTAGTAGAGATGGTGTTTCTCTATGTTGGTCAGGCTGGTCTTGAACTCCCGACCTCAGGTGATTCTCCCGCCTTGGCCTCCCAAAGTGCTGGGATTACAGGTGTGAGCCACCACGCCCGGCCCAGAACTGGATTTTAAAAGGAAGTGCACAGATGGGCCTAGGAGAGGACTCAGGGGCCTGACTGATTAAAGCTTGGCCAAGCACAGAATCTTTCCCACTCTCCAGAAGCTCACCCTGACCTCTCCTTTTCACTCAGGCCCTGTCTCTCATTAACAGCCAGTAGCTTATTGGTGATCCTAGATGCAGCCTGCAACCTTTTGTACAACTCACAGAAGCACTGATTTGCTGTCAAATGGTGGAAAAGTTCAAGCTGCCAAACTTTTTCTTAAAGGACCAAACAGTGAATACTGTAGGCCTTAACTGTTGCAACACCATAGCCTCTGTTGCAACAACTCAACTCTGTCCTTGTAGTACAAAAGCAGCCACTGACAATATGTCCATAAATGAATGCGCATGGTTGTGTTCTAATAAAACTTTATTTACAAACGGGCGGCAGGCTCATTTCAGCTCCGTCAGTTTGCTGACGCCTGATTTTAAGCATAGGGTGACCAGTCGTCCCAGTTTGCCCGGAACTTTCTTGATTTTAGCACTGAAAGTCCCATATTCCGTGAAACTCAGCCCCAGTAAACCAGGTTGGCCCTGCTATTTAAGCAACACTTGCATTATCCCATTCAAAACTCACACTACCTTGTGGGGGTCAGGTCACCGCCCAGTGGATCCACCTTGCCTGCTGCCTAGACAGAGCCGATTTATCAAGACAGGGGAATTGCAAGGGAGACAGAGTAATTCATGCAGAGCAGGCTGTACAGGAGACGGGGATCAGAGTTTTTAACGACAATTTGGCGGGTAAGGACTTGGGAAGTTGGGAGTGCTGATTGGTCAGGTTGGAGATACAGTCATAGGGGGTTGCAGTGAGGTTTTCTTCATGTCTTCTGTTCCCGGCTGCGATGGCAGAACTGGTTGAGCCAGAATACCAGCCTAGGTGGTGTCAACTGATCCATCCAGTGCGGGGTCTGCAAAATATCTCACGTAGTGCTCTGAGGTTTTACAATACTGATGTTATCCACAGGAGCAATTTGGGGAGGCTTAGACTCTTGGAGCCAGAGGCTGCATGACCCCTAAACCATAATTTCGAATCTTGTAGCTAATTTGTTAGTCCTGCAAAGGCAGATCGGTCCCCAGGCAAGAAGGGGGTCTTTTCGGGGGGAAGGGATATTATTAATTTTGTTTCAGAGTCAAAACACGAACTGAATTATTTCCCAAAGTTAGTTCAGCCTAACTTTGGGGAAGGAATGAACAAGGACAGCTTAAAGGCTAGAAGCAAGATGGAGTCTGTTCGGTCTGGTCTCTTCCACTGTCATCATTTCCTCAGTTATAATTTTTGCAAAGGCAGTTTCAGTCAGATTAGAAAACCAGGATTTGGAGAGTTCTTGCTCTTCTGCTCCCAAATACCTTCCAGTCATTTCCATAGAGAGAGAAAGAAGCTGCCGCTTAAACAGACTCTGTTCTACCTTCTAGGAGAGGAATAAAAGTCATCTCAGGGGATAGTCTTTATTTTTCTTCTTGAAAAATACCTCCGGCTGGGTGTGGTGGTTCACGCCTGTAATCCCAGCACTTTGGGAGACCGAGGCAGGAGGACGGCTTGAGCTCAGGAATTTGAGATCAGCCTGGGCAACATGGTGAAACCCCGTCTCTACAAAAAATACAAAAATTAGCCAGGTGCAGTGATGTGCGCCTGTAGTCCCAGCTACTCAGGAGGCTGAAGTGGGAGAATCACTTGAGCCTGGGAGGTAGAAGTTGCAGTGAGCCAAGGTCATGCCATTGCACTCCAGCCTTGGCAACAGCAGTGAAAAGCTGTCTCAAAAAAAAAAAAAAAAAAAAAGAAAAGAAAAGAAAAGGAAAAAGAAAAAAAATACCTTCAATGGCCTCTTTGGAAGTGAAGGACTTCTTTCCTTGCCCCCAATGGTTTATCCCGGAAAAGGGGAGTTCACAGAGAAGGTTGAGTCTGGCAGGGGTTGGCTGTGGCTTGGGAGAGAGGGGTTGGAGGAAAGAGACAAGGGAAAGGTAGGAAAGAGCCGTCAGGGGGAAAGGCCATGGGACAGCATCGGGGAGGAGTGGGGAGAGGGCCCACACATATTGGAAATGCAGTGTCTGTCTCCTCCCCTGAACTTCTGGAAGGATCAAATCTGATACACACAGGCAGGTGTGTTCAAAGTGTCCTGGGGGTGCTGATGGAAGAAGGTGGGAGTGTCTGCCATGGGCTGGGTCAGTTAACACCCGGGGTCGGCAGGCTGATGGGTCAGGAGAGACTGAGTCTACCTCCCCTTTGGGAGGGATCAGAAAAATCAGAGAAGGGGAGCTGAAGGCTCCACAGCAGGGGGCTGTGGACTCAGGCTGAAGGACCTCTGAGTTGTTCCCCAGGGATCTTGTCACCTCGTCTTCCTGGGAGCTTTCCCCTATTTCCTGACAGCTCCTGAGGATGCTGTGTAACCACAGATTTCCATTTGCGTTGGAAGAGGGCCACCTTCCCTTTACAGTTTTCTCTCTCTCCAAGGTGTGGGATTTCATTCAGGGTGGGCGAAGCCGGGTGCTTGAAGCGGCCACCAGGGGGCGCCCGCCGCCAGCTCTTAGAGCAGGTGGAAGCCTGCGTTTCCCTTGGGCCAGACTTGGAGATCATTTAGCCAGGAAGGAGCCCCAAAGCCAGTGGCGTGCTGTTAAGTGTTTAACAACTGGCTTCCAATGGGAAAAAGTCCTGATTTGTAGCATTTGCCAATGTCTTCCATGTAAATACTCCCACAGCCGATTTTGAGCTACCAACCATTATATAGTTGATGATACAATAGGTGTTAGTAACAAGGGCATCGATCATCGGATAATGTAGTACAATTATTAGGAATTGGTGAGTTTTGAGTACTGATGACCTTGGCTTTTAATATAATAGAATTTAATTTATTAAACAACTGACACAAAATTCTGAAAATTTTGTTGATTAGCTCTCACGGGCAGATATAGTCTGGCTCCTGCACACCCCTGTGCCCTCCCCTCCTGCCTGGGCCTCCCATGCCCTTGAGGACCACCAGCCTGAATCACCCCACTCATCCATTCAGCAAACACATCCTGAACACACACACAGCTGCAATATCCCCGTGAATCCCCTCAAACAGCTCTCACAGACGGTTCTAGTATTCTCCCCATTTTACAGAAGATGAAACTGAGGATGAGAGCTAGGTGAAGTCACCTGCCCCAGGTCATGAAGAGGATCTGAGATTGGAACCCAGACCTGAAAGCCAGGATCTTACCACTGTGTCACGCTGTCCTTGAGATCACAGCGGGGTTCTGGGGGAATCCCACGCCCCAAAACCTCAGCCCTGCTGACCTGCCCTGGGGCCTGGAAGTCCCCCATTAGTCACCCTCTGTGGCTCCTGGCTGCTGAGGGAAGGCGCTGTTCCTTGGGAGGGTAACCGAGTACAGCGCAGCCCTCTCATTGCAGAGAACACAACACAGCAGAGCTGGGGCCTAGGACTAAGAGGGATGGCCGGGGGCAAGCAGCTGGCCTTTACTGAGCACTTACTGCATACCTAGTGCCTTGTCAAACAGTTTGTCTGCATTATCTCATTTAGGACTCAACCTCATAATGTGGGTGCAATGATTGTTCCATTTTCTTGCCAGGGAAACCGAGGTTCAGAAAGCTGAACCACTTGCTCCAGCCGGTTGCACGGTTAGGAAACCACACTGTGCTGACTTCAGCTCTGCCAGCAGGGAAGGAAGGAGGGTAGACAGGAAATGGGGGGCGGGGGATGATGGGCTCAGTTTGTTCCAGGTCCCTTGTCTCTTACAGGCTGGGGCTGCCACCCTGGGGGTGGTTCATCCAGCAGCTGATCTGGCAGGGGCTCCCCAAATTCTTTCCCCAGATCCCATCCCTCTTTGCCACTCAACCAAGCCACCGATTACTATGGAATGTGCCAGGCACTGTGAGAGGCCCTGGGATGCCATGTGAGTAGGACAGGCCTGTAATCCCAGAACTGTGGAAGGCCAAGGTGGGCGGATAACTTGAGGCCAGGAGTTCGAGACCCCTTTGGGGCTCATGGTCTAGAGGGGGACAGATTGATCAAATAATCACCCAGGAAAAGATCAGATTATGTCAGATTATGGCTGGGCCCTGAGCCCAGAGGAGAGATGCTGGGAGCAATGGGGCCAGAGCTGGGGGGCATGGGTCAGGAAAATCATGGTTGAAACTTGAAGGACACAGAGTTATTGACTTGGGAGGGAAGGGATAGAGGGAAGAAAGTTCCAGGCAGTGGGAGCATCATGGGCACAGGAGTTTGCACTAGGGGAGCAGACAAGGTGGGGGCAGCTGGAAGGAGCCAGGGTGGCCGCATGGAGGAGGAAGAGGCTGTGTGAGGATGAGGAGAACCTGGACTAGAGCAGGGTGCAAAGAAGTTGTGGAATCGAGAGGTAATTGGGAAGAAAAGGGTAGGAGTTGCTGATGGGTTGGAAGTGAGGAAAAAGGAGGTTGAAATCTCAGGTTTCTGACTTGGGCAGCTATCCTGATGAGGGTGCCACGGGGTGGCTGGGAAAGCCATGGAAGGAGGTTGCAGGGCTGGTGGTAAGAGGAGTGTCCTGAGCTGGGGTTCAGCCAAGTTGGGTCTCAGGGCCTGCTCAACCTCCAGGTGGAGGTTCCAGGAAAGCTGTTGCAAAAGATGCTTGAGGTCATTAGCCATCAGGGAAATGCAAATTAAAGCCACAGTCAGATGCCACTTCACACCCTCCAGCAGGACTAGAATTAGAAAGACTGACAACACCCAGTGCTGGTGAGGATGTGGAGAAGCTAGAACACTCACATGTTGCTGGTGGGAATGCAAAATGATACAGCCACTTTGGAAACCAGTTGGGCAGTTTCTTATAAAGTTAGACGTGTACTCACCATGTACTCCCCATCCAAGCCAGAAATCCCATTCTTAGGTATCTCCCCAAGAGAATGAAAACAGATGTTCATACAAAGACTGCTACAAATGTGTACAGCAGCTTTGTTCATAAGATCCCCAAACTGAAAACAACCCAAATATCCATCAGCTGGTGAATGGATAAATAAACTGTGGTCCATCTGTGCAAGGAAATATTACTCTGAATAAACAGGAGTGAGGCACTGATTCTCATGCCAACATGGATGAATCTCAAAGACACCATGCTGACTGAAAGAAGCTAGACACAAAAGGCTATATATTTTTTTCTTTTTAGAGACAGGGTCCCACTCTGTCACCCAGGCTGGAGTGCAGTGGCGCCATCATAACTCACTGCAGCCTTGACCTACCAAGCTCCAGCGATCCTCCTGCCTCAGCTTCCTGAGTAGCTAAGACTGCAGGTGTGCACCACCATGCCAGGCTAATTACTTATTTTTTTGTAGAGATGGGGGTCTTGCTATGTTGCCCAACCCAGGCTGGTCTCAAACTCCTGGCTCAACTGATCCTCCTGCCTCGGCCTCCCAAAGTGTTGGGGTTACAGGCGTGAGCCACAGTGACATACAATCTGGCTGGGCTGTATGTTGTGTGATTCCAATGATAAGAAGTTCTGGAAAAGATCAGTGGTTACTCTTGGGGGTGGGAAATGATTAGCAGCGGCTTGCAGGAACCCTCTGGTATGATGGAAACATGTTTTATTTTGGTCTGGTTGGTTGTCATACGGGTGTCTGCATTTGCCAAAACTCACTGAACTGCATTTTTACAATTGGTGCTTTTTACTGTGTGTAAAATATACCCCAAGAAGCAAGCAAACCAATAAGCAAGCAGGCAAGCAGGTGAATTCACAAGGCTGTGTGAACCCAGAGGTCGGCCAAGGCATGTGTGAGAGCAGGGGGCCTTGGGCATGCTCCTTGGAGCTCCCACAGCTGCTGTCCCTGCCCCTCCCAGGGACTGGGTGACGGGGAGGCCCAAGGAAGCCACATCTTTTGAGGTCCCCTGTGAATGTCCTTACCTTCTGCGGCTGTTCCCCTGCTCAGAGACTATCAATGGCTCCCCAGTGCCCAAGTCCACAAGAAGTTTCCAGCTTCCTCACTCGCTGCCCACTCACCTATATGTCTGCCTGTCTGGGCAAACCGGCCCTCTCACTCCTCCTCACCCATGCCCCACGGCTCCTGCCCTCTCTGCCTTTTGTTTCCACTTTTAGGGCTCAGCTCCCCCAGGCCCTGGAGATCTTTTTGGATCCAGCCATGTCTCTGGGCTCCTCCTTTGCTCACCCCCATCACCCTACTTGCTGCGGGGCAGTATTTCACCCCGTCTTTGCCCCAGTCCTGGGCACAGAGACCAGCTTGGTTGGCCAACAGTTAACTCCAGGTTATTCCTCCTCCATCTGGGGCCTCAATCTTTCCATGTGTAGAATGGGCGTCTCTGTGTCTGCTTATGCCATCAAGTGGCCACTGCTTATGTGTCCTTCCCACTCAGATAAGAGTCACACAAGGCAGGGATTTTTCATTCCCCAGAAGACTTGGGAAGGAGACAGAAGTCAGTCTGATGCCTGGTTCTGTCTTTGCCATGTGTCTCTCCAAGGCTCACAGTCCTCATCTGTAACATGGGATGCTCATAGGGCCCGGGGCACTGTAAACAATTACCCTTGACAATAGCAGAAGTCGACCTACCCTGTGAGGTTAGGTCTTATTCTCAACCCCATTTTATGGATGAGCAAATGGAGGCCCAGAGAGGTTCAGTGACTTGCCTAAGGCCACACAGCATGAAAAATCACAGATTCGGGAGTAAACTCCTAAGACTTTCTGGGGCCACCAGCCACCAAAGGCTGGCTCCTTGAGAAGGGGCTGGGAAGTCCCCAAATCTCCAAATCTCCAATTCTCCAAGCCAGGTCCTGGCGTGACTTCTCATCAGCCACAGAGCTCCTCTCTGGAGGCCACTCTGTGCTCACAGCATCCCCAACTGGGAGAGGGGGTCACTGGGAGGCAGTCACTGGGCACTGCCCATTCACGAAGCCTCTACAGAGCTGGGTGCCGGGGAGGAGGTGGTGCCAAAGATTGCTGAGGGAGCAGAGGGGGCTGCGTCCTTCCACCACCCCTGGACTCACTCTATGAGACCTTGGGCATGCCACCGCCTTCTCAGGCCCCGATTTCTCCTTCTATGAGATGGGAGACGTCTGTATTAGTTCCCCGCTGGAGGGACAGCTTCAAGGAGCCAGAAGCAGAACTGGGGGGAATTCCCAAGGCTGTGTGAGCCCAGAGGTCTGCCAAGGCGTGTGTGAGGGCAGAGGGCCTTGGGCATGCTCCTTGGAGCTTCCACAGCTGCTGTCCCTGCCCCTCCCAGGGACTGAGTGACCGGGAAGCCCAAGGAAGCCACACCTCCTGGAAGTCCCCTGTGAATGTCCTTACCTTCTGTGGCTGTTCCCCTGCTCAGAGACTATCAATGGCTCCCCCAAATAAGACAAGTTTCTATCATATTACAGGGTCCCTGCAAGTCCCTCCAAATCATTCCCTCCCCACCAAGGGTAACCACTGGTCTTTTCCAGAACTTATCATCGGAATCACACAATATAACATACAGCCTGGCCAGATTGTATGTTACCGTGGCTCACGCTTGTGACTCCAACACTGTGGGAAGCTGAGGCGTGAGGATCACTTGAGCCAGGAGTTCGAAACCAGCCTGGGTTGGGCAACATAGCGAGACCCCATCTCTACAAATTTAAGTAATTAGCCTGGCATGGTGGCGCACACCTGCAGTCCCAGGTACTCAGGAAGCTGAGGTGGGAGGATCCCTTGATCCTGGTAGGTCAAGGCTGCAGTGAGTTATGATTGCACCACCGCACTCCAGCCTGGCCTGCAGAGTGCAGGTGAATGAACCTGGTTGATGTAATGGGTACTGCCCTGAGAGAGGCCTCCCACCAGGCAGCAGAAGGCTGCAGCTTGGGAGAGAGGGAAAACCTGGAGGCAGGACTGTGAGAACGTCTGCCCAGAGGCGGGACCTGCAGCTGTGGGGAGAGGTGGCATTCCTCAGAAAAGGATGTGAGCCTTTGCCGATATGACACCTCTTGGTAATGGCAAAGATGTTCTCACACCCCACGTGATGGGATATTTTTTATATCCACTGGGAGAGAAACCAGGTAATGACAAACAGCTCCTGTGTGAACAACTTTTTTTTTTTTTTTTTTTTGAGACACAGTCACGCTCTATCTCCCAGGCTGGAGTGCAGTGGCACAATCTCAGCTCACTGCAACCTCTGCCTCCTGGGTCCAAGCGATTCTCATGCCTCAGCCTCCCAAGTAGCTGGGATTACAGGTGTGCACCACCATACCCAGCTAATTTTTTGTATTTTTAGTAGAGATGGGGTTTCGCCATGTTGATCAGCTTGGTCTGGAACTCCTGGCCTCAAGTGATCCGCCCCACCTCGGCCTCCCAGAGTGCTGGGATTACAGGCATGAGCCACTGGTGAACAACTCTTTCTAATGTCTTTCACTGACGTAGCCCAACTGCCTCTAGAGACAGTCGACAAAAGATCAAACCTCTGTGTTTGAGGTGTCGTGTGAATTAGGGTCGAAACATGGTTAGCCTTGAGGACTTTTGTGGTGATCATGCTGTACCGCCCCCTGGGGGCAGAAGTGGACAGAGACCTGATTGCTGAGCATTTAGGGGCACAAGGTCTCTCGACCCCTCACTCATGCACTCGCCCACACAGTCCCTGGGCATAAAATGCTGTGTGCTTGTGGGAAGGAATTGTGACTCATCTTTGCCCTCAGCCTCTAGTGTGATCCTAGCCCAGAGTAGGTGACTCAGAAATGTTTGTGGAATATTCCAGCAACTTGGAAGAGGTAAAGAAAATAAGGCAGCCCCAGGTGTATGATCAATCAAACATGATTCAGCAATTGAAAATGATGTTTTTGAAGGATAATATGGAAAAATGCCCTTGACATGATGTTAAATGAACTCTGAGCCTTAGTTTTTTCATCTGTGAAATGGGATAATAATAGTATCATCTTGCAGGGGTGTTGTGGGGATTTAATGAGACTGGCATGGAAAGTACTTAGCATGATGCCTTGCAGAAAGTAAGTCCTCCGTAAATAGTCGCTAGAAGGTTAAGTCCTCCATAAATCGTGGCTATAAGGTAAGTCCTCCATAAATCGTGGCTATAAGGTAAGTCCTCCATAAATCGTGGCTAGTAGGATTATCAAGTATGAAGAAAACATGACCAGAAGGAAATATACCAAATTATTGAGAGAGGTTAGTCACTGAGGGTAGGATTTTGGGTGAGCTTAATTTGCTTCTTTCAACTTTTCTGTGTTTTCCTAATATTCCCAAATGGACAGAAAGAAACCCAAAGTGTTAGGAAATCTAGTGGCCCCAGGCTTTATCCTTTAGTTATTAATGCCCAAACAGGAGTGCTCTGAGCTAGTGGTTCTTCCCCGGGGATGATTTTGCTCCCTAGGGGACATTTGGCCATGTCTGGAGACGTGTTTGGTTGTCACGATCGTGGGCATCTGGTGGGTGGTGGTCAGGGATGCTGCTCGACATCCCACAGTGCACAGGACAGCCCCCCACAGCACAGAAGTCCAAAAGTGCCGTGGTAGAGAAACCCAGCTCTGTGGCTTCCCCTTCGGCAGTGTGGGATTCCCAGAACCCCCCTTCCCAAAGATTTCTGGAAACCCAGAGATGCTTCTGTGTCATCATGAACATGGTTGTTGTGCATCCCTTGGTGGCTGGAGGGCTGCAGTGGTTGCTGCCTCTTTTCTAGCACACACACAGGGCCCCCCAGAACTGGGCACACCTATGCCCAAGGTTGGCAGAACCAGAACGCCACGCCGAGATGTGCGTCGGGACAGCCTTATTGCTGCTCCTGCCAAGAAAAAAGGAGAAAGGAAAGGGCCCCATGGCAGGGAGACCTAAGCACAAAAGTGGCACAAGCACAGCCCCTTTCACAGGCACAGGGACCCTGCCAGGGTGGCCGAGTGAGGGTGAGTTCTCACAACGGTGGTCAGTCTCAGCCCTGGTTCTGAGATGCCCACTACTCCCTTGAGGTAGCTCTTTCTGGAGTCCCTGTTATCTGGCTTTGTGCCCGACCTCCAAGCCCCTGAGAGGGAGAGGCTTCAACTGATTTTCCTGAGAGGTTCAGTAGCCCCTCCGCAAATTTCTGGATACAAACAAATGCGTGGGCTAGCAGGATTGTCTGATCCTATCAGCAGAAGCTTCTGGGCCCTGACTCCTGCCCAGCTCAGATGCCATCTCATCTGTTGACAGTCATCTAGCTTGGACGGGTGAAGAAAAGCTCCCGTCACCTCCCACTCTGCACCGGCTCCACGAGCTCTCTTGCTCTTTTTCAGGTAGTGCTGCCTCAGGGCCTTTGCCCTTGCTGTTTCTTCTGCCTGGGGCCCTGTTCCCAGATATCTGCACAGCTGGCATCTTCTCATCCTGTAGGCCTCAGCTTGGATGTCACCTTCTCAGAGAGGCCCACTCTGCAGCCCTGCCCCCAGATATTCACTAGGACACCCCCTTTTCCTTTCAAGGCACTGGTGACGGTCAGAGTGATGTTGATAGATTGATTTGCGCTGCCTGTGGGTGGGGCCTGTGTCCCTCATGTCCACTCTCTCCCTGTCCCTGCCTGGTGCCTGGCACATGGTAGAGAATCAGGAAACATGTGAATAAAGGGACTAGCAAGGGAGGCTTTGCAGAGGGCGTAGGGGCTGAGGCGAGGCAATGGGACCGACAAAATTTAAGCAGCAGGGGCAGAGAGCAGGGGGGCCTTAGGTTTAAGGCTTGGAGTCAGGCGACCCTGGTTCAAATCCTGGCTCCACTGCTTAGGAGTTGCATGACCTTGGGCAACTTGCTGACCTCTGGCAGCCTCCCTTCCTCACCTAGGAAATGGGGAGAAGCATCCTTCCTACTCCTAGGGATTTGGAAGGGTGGAGTGAGCGTGGACAGCCTGGCACACAGTCGGTGCCAGTTAATGCTCACCCTGGGAGAGAGAGTTCCTGGCTGCCGGGTCAGCGTGGACCATCCAAGGAGTACCGTGGAGGCCTCCATGTCCCCACAGCCCCCGCCCCTGTGGTTTGGGGAGTGAGACCCCGCCCAGCAGAGCTCTCGGTCTTGTGGCCTAAAATTAGCTCACAGATTCCTTGGCTGCCTGGCCGGTGCTTCCAACCGACAATTCAAAACAGATGTTTCCAGCTGTTGCGGCCCATCCCCCCTGGCCAGCACCCACGTGTGTCCAATTCACAAGGGTTGGAGTCAGCCCTGGGGAGGTCAATTGGCTTCATGCACCCTTGAGCCCCAGCTGGGCTGTGGGTTTGAAGTGGGGAGGCGAGCCCTGGGTCTGCACGCAATTCCTCCGAGGATACGGGCTGGGTGGCTGATTGCTTTGTCACTTTCCACCCCGTAGCCTTGTGGAGTGCCTGCTGTATACCAGGCTTCTGTGTTAGCTGCTGCCCAGATGGCGTGAATAAAGACTGTGTCAGCCGGGTGCGGTGGCTCACACCTGTAATCCCAGCACTTTGGGAGGCCGAGGTGGGTGGATCACCTGAGGCCAGGAGTTCGAGACCAGCCTGGCCAACATGGCGAAACCCCATCTCTACTAAAAATTCAAAAATTAGCCAGGCATGGTGGCGGGCACCTGTAATCCCAGCTACTCAGGAGGCTGAAGCAGGAGAATCTCTTGAACCTGGGAGGTGGAGGTTGCAGTGAGCCCAGATGGTGCCACTGCTCTCCAGCCCGGGCAACAGAGCAAGACTCTGTCTCAAAAAAAAAAAAAAAAAGACACTCCATCCAGGTGTCACTACTGTTGCTGTGATTGTTATTATCATTAGCATATTGACCAAGTGCCAGTTGCCGAGGGCTCACTGAATTCTCACAAGAACCCAGAGAAGTGAGGGTTATTACCTCCATTTTAACAGATGAGGAAACCGAGGGTCAGAGTGGCTGACCCTCAAGGTCATCCAGCTCAGAGGCAGCAGAACTCAGAGGTCCCGGAAGGGCAGGTGGTCTTGGCTCATCCTGACGGTTTTACCTTCGTGCTGCCACCCCCGATGTGGCCCTTCCCCATGGGTGGGTGTGCCTGGGTGTTGCAGAAGACCCTGTCTGTGAGGCTGTCCCTAGGCCCAGGGGCAGAAGGCTGACTTGTGGCAACTGCCTGGAGGAGGTGGCTGGTCAGGAACCCCCGAGTGCCAAGCTTTTAGCCACAGCTGGGTTGGAAGCTGGTGTCAGGTTTGGAAGGGGCCAAGGGAGGTCTGGGGTACTGCATGGCCTGCATGGGGTGTTTTTGTTTGTTTGTTTTGTTATGTTTTTTGTTTCTTTTTGTCAGACAGAGTCTTGCTCTGTTTCCCACACTGGAAGGAGACACCTGGATGGAGAGTCTCAAACACTGCACTGGAGTGCAGTGGCCCAATCTCGGCTCAATGCAACCTCCACCTCCAGGGTTCAAGCGAGCATGTCTGGCTAACTTGTACTTTTAGTAGAGACGGGGTTTCACCATATTGGCCAGGCTGGTCACCTTCCTGGGGTCTTATTGCAGAGCTTCTTCCATTCCCCAGAGATGGGGCTCTGCGCTGTCTCTTGATCAGGGTCCCAAGAGGGTGTATGTGTGTGAATGGGGGCGGGGGCAGTGAGGATGGGGATGAGGGGGCTTGATACAAGGAGAGGAAGGGAATGGTGAAGCTTTACACACTTGGGGACCCATGGTTGATCTTCTTCACTTGTAGTAAAAAGCCAAAACCCCTGCTGATGCCCGCAGGGGCCCCACATTCTTCCCTTCTCCCCTAACTCACTCTGTTCCAGCTACACCAGGCTCTCTTCTACTCCAAGAACACGCAGGCGCCCCCACCTGAGGATCTTAGCACTGCCCTTCCCGCTGCTGGGGCTCCTCCTCTGAGCAACTCCCTGCTCGCTGTCCCTTCTCCTGAGGGTCTTTGCATGGAGGCTGCCCACCCCTGCTCTGTTTACCTCCATACTGACTCCCACCTCCTCCAGACCTCGTGGCCTCACGAAGCAAGCTTTTCAATGCTCGGCCCCCTTCTGCAGGGTCCCTCTGCAGGGACCTGGATTTTTTGTTTGTTTGTTCGTTTGTTTTCTTTTTTGAGACAGGGTCTTGCTCTATTGCCCAGGGTAGTGCGATTATAGCTCACTGCAACCTCCGCCCCCCAGGCTAAAGTGATCCTTCCTCCTCAGCCTCCCAAGTAGCTGGGACTACAGGTGCCCACCACCACGCCTGGCTATTTTTTTTTTTTTGGTAGACACAGGGTTTTGCCATGTTGTCCAGGCTGGTCTCAGACTCCTGGGTTCAAGAGATCCTCCTGCCTCAGTTTCACAAAGTGCTGGGATTACAGGTGAGAGCCACTGTGCCTGGCTAGGAGGGGAATTTTCTTTTTCTTTTTCTTTTTCTTTTTTTTTTTTTTGAGACAGGGTCTCGCTAGGGGCAGGTGATCCTCCCATCTTTGCCTCCCAAGTAGCTGGGACTACAGGCACGTACCACCATGCTCAGTTAATTTTTGTATTTTTTGTAGAGATGGGTTTTTGCCATGTTGCCCAGGCTGGTCTTGAACTCCTGACTGTTGGTGATCTGCCCACCTCGGCCTCCCAAAGTGCTGGGATTACAGGCGTGAGCCACCGCGCCCTGCTAGAATGGAGATTTTTAATCTGTGTTGTTCTTTGCCTGGAAAGTGTCTGGTGCATAGTATGTGCTTAATAAGTATTTGTTGAGAGAGAGAGAGAAAGAGAGAGGAATAAAGGAAGGGGGAGAGAGAAAGAGGAGGGGAGGAGGGAGGGGAAGGATGGGAGGAAGGGGGGAGGGAGGGGGGAGGATGGGAGGAGGGAAGGAAGGAGAAGGGAGGGAAGGGAAGAGAAGGGAAAGAGGGCAGGGGAGGGGAGAGAAAAGAAGGGGAGGAAGGGAGCGGAGGGGAGAGGAAGAGGGAAGAGATGGTTTTCATGTAAAGCAAGGAAGTGGAGGGAGAGCAGGAGAAATGTGAGGTGACTTACCTGAGAATTTGGGTAGCTCAGGGCCCCTTAATTTCAGCTTCAAGCCTTCACTACTTCTCACTCTCCACTAGCCCCTCTCCTGCTCAAGGACTCAAAGACAGACAGGGCCCCCATTTCCACCATGGCTGTAAAGCATCTTCAGAAGCATCGCCTCTGTTCCTTCTCCTGCTGGCCAGTGAGGCTCCTGGTAGCGACTGGCCCAAGGGCACCAGTGAACAGTTGGCAGAGCAGGGCACCAGAGCCGGGTCTGCAGTGCGGTGAGCGTTTACATTCCTGCCAGGCCCATCTGGCTTCCATGCTGGGCTGATGAAGCCGCATCTTACACTAGGCCCTGGGGAACGTAAATGTTGACATGGAGTGTGCAGCTGGCTGGGCCACTGCAGCCACCGGAAGCTCTAAGACCCCTGGCCTTCAGCCGGGGGGTCACTCCCTCAGAAAGAAAGGGATGCAGGGTGCTTTATTATTTAAAAAAGCCTTTTAAGGGAGTCATAACCTACATGAAGGGCACACATCTGAAGACTACAGCTTGATTTTTCCATGTGTGCATCCACCTAACCACCACTAACCACCCACCTAACCACCACTAACCACCTGCCTAACCACCACTAACCACCCGCCAAACAACCACTAACCACCCACCTACCACTAACCATCCACCTAACCACCACTAACCACCCACCTAACCACCACTAACCACCCACCTAACCAACACTAACCACCACTAATCACCCACTTAACCACTTAACCACCACTAACTGCCCACCTAACTACCTGACCGTCCACCTAACCACCACTAACCACCCACCTAACCACCCTGCCACCCACCTGGTCACCTAACCACCCACCTAACCACTCTGCCACCCACCTAGTCACCTAACCACCCAACCACAACTAACCACCCACCTAACTACCTAACTGCCCACCTAACCACCTCTAACCACTACTAACCACCCACCTAACCATCCACCTAATGACCACTAACCACCTACCTACCTAATCACCCACCTAATGACCACTAACCACCCATCTAACCACCTAACCACCCACCTAATGACCACTAACCACTCACCTAATGACCACTAACCACCCATCTAACCACCCGCCTAATGACCACTAACCACTCACCTAATGACCACTAACCACCCATCTAACCACTTAACCACCCACCTAATGACCACTAACCACTCACCTAATGACCACTAACCACCCACCTAACCACCCGCCTAATGACCACTAACCACCCATCTAACCACCTAACCACCACTAACCACCAACCTAACCACCCACCTAACCACCACTAACCAGGTATAGATCTTAACACAGGTCCACCCCCAGAAGGGTCCTTGTGCCCCTCCTGGGCAGTACTTTTGACTTCTGACCCCACAGCTTAGTTTTGTTTTGTTTTCTTGCTCTGTTGCCCAGGCTGGAGTGCAGTGGCATGACCATGACTCACTGCAGCCTTGACCCCTGGGCTCAAGCAATCCTCCAGCATCAGCCTCCTGAGTAGCTGGGACTACAGGTGATTAGTACCACACTTGGCTACTTTTAAATTTTTTTGTAGTGACAGGGGTCTCACTATGTTGCCTAGGCTGGTCTTGAACTCCTGAACTCAAGCAATTCCCCCTCCTCTGCCTCCCATAGTGCTGGGATTACAGGCAGGAACCACCTTGCCTGGCCTATTAGTTTTGCCTGTGTTCTAGAACTTCATGGAGACATGTGTGTTCTTTTGGATTGAGTTCTTTTGCTCCACGTGTCTGTGGCATTCGTCCACACTTGTTCCTGTTCCCTGGTGAGTAGTATTCCATCATGCAAGCATGGCACCGTCTGTGCATCCATTCTCCTGTTGATGGACATTTGGGCTGCTTCCAGTTTTTTGCTATTATGCATAAAGCTGCCATGGACACTTTTATCTTTTGTGTTTGTGCCTTTGTGTGGATGTGTGTTTTCATTTCTCTCGGATAATGCCTAGGAGTGAGATTGCTGGGTCAGATGAGAAGTGGATGGTTAACTATATAAAAACCGCCAAACCGTTTTTCCAAAGTGGCTGTGCCATTTTTCTCTCCCACCAGTAGTGGGTGAGCATCCAGTTATTTGCTGGAGGTGGGAGAAGGGATCGTTGTTGAAACAGGTGTAAAATTTACAAAGAATCACAGAACGTCAGAGCTTGCTGATGCCTCCTCTGACCCTTCCTGGTATAGGAAGGGAAAGTGAGGCTCAGATCACAGTGTGGGAGGGGCAGAGCCAGTAGCTAATGTCAGTCTCCCAATTTCCTAGCTCTAACTGCCCCCTGGTAAGAACGGATCAGCAGTGCTCAGTCTTATTTCCCCAGAGGAGGTTTCATGCCAAGCCCTTTCCTGCCTCACGGCCCTTGTACTTGTCCCCTTGGCTTTTCCTCCTGCTCTTGCATACGTGGTTCTCCTGATTCTGCAGGTGTCCATTCAGACACCTCTCTCGTGAGGCCATCCTTGAGCACAATGGCTAAAATAGCTGCCCAGGCACCCGCCCCACCCGCTTCCCAGCTACTCCCTGTCTCCTCGTCTTTTCCATTTCCCTGACAGCACTTCACAGCATCGGGTTACCTTCCCTCTTTGCTGGTTGATTTGTTTCTTGTCTGCCTCCCTTACCCGGAGCTCTCTGAGGCGGAAGTCTGATCTGTCTTGCTCTTGGCTGCCCTGCACTGTCCATGCAGGAGCTGGTGTGGAGCAGTTGCCTAGTAAATATTGGTTAAATTAACCTACAAACAAGCAAAATAATATCAGTGTATCCCCAATGAATCCTGTCTCCTCCTTGAGCCTCAGTTTCCCCATCTATAGCATGAGCAGTTTGCACTGGCTCGTGGGAGGGCATTTACTGAGCATCTACTATATTCCAGGCGTGGGTGACACAGATACAGTGACAGTAAAGGCCTGGATTCTGGCCCCGAGAAGCTCCCAATCTAGAGATGCATGTAAACAGGGCATTACAGCCCAGTGTACTCAGGGCTCAAAGCCAGGAGCCCAGAGGGTACAGGAGTGTAGAGGAGGCTGCTGGTCTCCCTCTCCAGAGGCTGGCATGCAGGGAGGGCTTCCTGGAGGTGGTGATGACATAGATACAGGGTGTGTAGGGGTGGTCAGGCAAAGGGGCTGTGGAGGACAGTGCTTCAGGCAGGGGGAACAGCCCAAGCGAAGGTGTGGCAGCATCTGCCTCCTTCACTGCTGTCTCTCTGTGCCCAGCACAGTTCCTGGCACACACAGGTGCTCAGTCAACGGTTGGGGAATAAGTGAAAATGTCTGGTTTACAGGTGGGGAAACTGAGGCCCAAGGAGGTTTCACAACACACCTAGAGCTCCACCCTTCTGGGCAGCCATGGCCAGGGAGGCAGGGAGGGTGGGAGAAAAACCCACCCCACCTCGGGCCTCTGCCAGCGTCCTCAGGGACAAGGCTACTCTGCCTCCTTGGAGTGCCAGGCGGGAGGCCCCTCCACGGGTGTCCCTCCAAAGGCCAGGCCTGTGCTGTAATGGGGCCACAGCCCAGGCCTCTCTTGCCACATGAAAGGCTTGGCCTATTTTTGCCCAGAGGACAGGCTCCAGTGGCCACTGGGACTGTGTAATTAGAAGAGGCCCTGCACCCATGAGGGGCTGGAGCTGGGGGCTGTGGTGGGCAGGGTGGCTGCCCCAGGAGCAGATGGGGAGGACCCTGGCACAGATCGAGGTGGGGTGGGTTTTCCCCTCACCCTCCCTGCCTCCCTAGCCATGGCTGCCCACCAGGGCGGGGGACCCCGGCGGCTAATTGCACGGCGGGCACAGGGTGAGGTCTCTGAATCCTTCCTAGGCCGGGCAGAGGGCCCAGGTGCCACTCTATGCCTCTGAAATTACAGGCTACAAGTGAGCGGCACAGCCTGCTCCATGCCACAGGCCTGCCTGCGCCCCTGGGAACCATAGTAGTGCAGTCCACAAGGAGCATCCCGGCTGGGCCCCACAACAGGCCCCCCGAACTAGAGAACGTGGAACATGAGTCTCTTAGGATGAACGAGGAGCCGCTGGAGCGGACTCTCAGAGCGCTACCTGGTGCAAACCTGAAAATGCAAGCGTGTGTGATGTTCCTCACCCTGTGTCCAAGTGTTCTCATTGTTCAATTCCCACGAGTGGGAACATGCGGTGTTAATATACATATGTAACAAACCTACACATTGTGAACATGTACCCTAGAACTTAGAGTATAATTAAAAAAAAAAAAAAGAAAGAAAATGCAAGCGTGGAGGTCAGAGCGGTCATTCACACAGTCAACAAGCATTTATGGAGCACCCATGGTGTTCCAGGCACTGTCCTGGGTGGCGAAGTTCACAAAACAGGCAGAGCTCCTGGTGCCTGAAGACCTGGCTCCTGGACCCTTGCAATGACAATAATCTTCAGGAGCTGCCTGGAAGGTGCTGCACTGCCACCCACCTCAGGGCCTTTGCACGCACTGATAGTGACTGGGCACTCCCTTGCGTCCTTGCTTTTCTAAATGCCTCCTCCTCATCTTTAAGAGCAGCCGTACCGTCACCTCTTCATGGAGGCCCCTATGAGGCTCGGGGCCAGAATAGCCTCCCAGACAAGTGCTCTTTTGGCCCCTGAACTACCGCTTCCAACTCTTAGCCCACTTTGCAGTTAGATATTCATTTGTTTGTTTACTTGCTCATTGCAAGTTTCCCCGCTACTCTGTAAACTCTGTGTCTCTGTTTGTCCATCACTGCCTCCCAGGGCCTGACCTTGGCCTGTGTGCAATTAAGGTCAAAAGAAATATTTGTATACATATGTACAACTATTATGTGTCCATAAATTTTTTTTTAGAAATTTAAAAATACATTGGCTGGGTGCAGTGGCTCATGCCTGTAAATCCCAGCTACCTGGGAGGCTGAGGTGGGAGGATCGCCTGAGCCCAGGAGGTCGAGGCCACAGTGACCTGTGATTGTGCCACTGCACTGCAGCCTGGGTGGCAGAGTGAGACATTGTCTCAAAAAAAAAAAAAGTTTAAAATATATTGACATAAAAAAAGAAATATTTATAGAAGGAATGAAATTTAGAGTACCAGAGAATTGGAGTCTTAGGGCTGGCAGGCTTGTGCCAAGCATCTAGTCTAACCCCACATTTAGCCACAGCCCAGGGAAAGGCAGTGATTTGCTCCGTTGCCCACAGTCTTTGCCTGAGCTGGGGCTGGGACTTGGGGCTCCTTTTTTGCCTCTGATCAGTGACTGACATTGTCATTGTTCTGTCCTCAGATTGTGGGTAGGGATGCTCAGTTTAAGGACAGCCTGTGTGTGTGTGTGTGTGTGTGTGTGTGTGTGTGTGTGTGTGTGTGTGTGTGTGTGTAGCGTGTGATGTGTGGTGTGTTGACATGGTGGGAAAGCCCTTCAACAGGACAGAGGGAGGTAGGAGCCCTATTTTCGGGAACGGGCCCCTTGGGAGGGGGGTGGTCCCATTTCGAGATTTGCTGACACGGGGGCCAGTGCAGAAAAAAAGGGCTCTGACCTCCCAACATGCTAACTGATTCTGGGCAGGTTGCTCCAGCA
Source organism: Homo sapiens (assembly GCF_000001405.40). Taxonomy (NCBI): domain Eukaryota; kingdom Metazoa; phylum Chordata; class Mammalia; order Primates; family Hominidae; genus Homo; species Homo sapiens. Next base: position 108,601,421 of record NC_000012.12, on the reverse strand, counting down.
TGAACTGCAGTTTCTGTGTCCACCAAGTGGGCTTCCTGCATTCATTCATTTCCCCACAAGCACATAAAGGGCCTGCTGTATTTGAGGCACAGTGCTGGGGGAGCAAAACCCAGTGATTTGTGGGTGGATGATTCCAGACCCATAGGGAGACAGTAATAGTAATATTCAACTTGGGGTGGCAGGCAGAATAATGCCCCTCCCCACGAAGATGCCCACAGCCTAATCCCTGGAACTTGGAAATATGTTACCTTTTTTTTTTTTTTAAGATTTGAGGTCGTGCTCTGTCACCCAGGCTGGAGTGCAGTGTCATGATCATAGCTCACTGTAGCCTTGAACTGCTGGTCTCAAGCAATACTCCCACTTCAGCCTCCCAAGTAGCTGGGACCATAGGGATGTGCCACACCCAGCTAATTAAAAAAAATTTTTAGAGACAGGGTCTCACTAGATTGCCCAGGCTGGTCTTGAACTCCTAGCCTCAAGTGATCCTCCCACTCAGCCTCCTGAGTAGCTAGGGTTACAGGTGTGAGCCACTGCACCCAGCTGAGTGTGTCACACCTTATTTGGCAAAAGGGATTTGCCGATATGGTTAATTAAGGCTCTCAGGGAGATTATCCTGGATCCTCAGGGTGGGGCCAACGTCAACACTAGGGGCCTTCAACGTGGGAAAGGGAACCGGAAGAGAGATGGTGGTATGAAAAGGACCCTGCCTGCTACCACTGGCCGGGAGGGTGGAGGAAGAAGCCTAAGAGCCAAGGAATGCCAGCAGCTTCTAGAATCTTGAAAAGGTAAAGAAAGAGATTCGCCCCCAAGACTCCAGAATGAACGCAAGCCCTGTTGACACTTTGATTTTTAGCTTCACGAGGCCCGTTTGGGACTCTTGACCAAAAGAACTGCAAGAGCATGAATGTGAGTGGCTTCTGGCCTCTAATCTGTGGTCATTTGTTACAGCAGCAACAGGGAACTATACCCTTGGCCTTGGCCTGTGCTTTTGACATTGCTGAGCACGTGCATGCTCCCTAGCTCCTCTGCCTTCCCCTGCCAGCTTCCGAGTAGTAGGGAGTCTCCATCTCCATTTTACAGAGGAGGAAACAGAGGCTCCATGTGGGGCAGGACATGGTGGAGGCAGGATTTGAAGTGGGTCTGTCTGCCTCTCGCTAGATGAATGAATGAATGAATGAATGAATGAATGAATGTAAGGGGCTGCTAATCCACGGGACTCCTCAGGTCAGCCAGATGTCCTGGTTCCAGGGCCTGCCACTAACTCACCTCAGATCCCTGCTTGAACCATTAGAACTCACCTGCCTCACTTTCCCCCTCTGTGAAATGGGGCTCCAACGCCTATTCAAGCTACTATCATTGGGGGCATTGTGAGGCCACAGATCCCAGAACAAACCCTCCAAACCCTCATTGACTCCCTACTGCCTCCTAGGTGACCTTCCAATACTTTAGCCCAGCTCCTGCCAATGTCTCCAACACTTACTACCCCTCCTTCAGGGGGATGCTCTGCCCAGGAGGGAGAAGCAAAGAACGAGGGGAAGGGGACTCCGAGAGCTTCCCTCAGGCTGGGCCTCTGGGGCCACCTGTGCAGGGAGCAGGCTCTATTTGGGTTGGTTGTGTCCCTGCTCCTCGACATCCCAAGGTCCCCAGACTGCAGCCCTCAGAATGTTGGGTAAGGTCTTCTTCCCCTGCTGGTGGGCCCTGGGGGAGGTTTGGCTGCCCCTGACCACCCGATGTCTGGTCTAAGACAGGTCAGGTAGGCCTGGAACACCCCTGGCCACCTTAAAGCGGGCACAGCTGCTACAACATGTCTGTGGGTGGCCACTTGCCCCTGGGACATGTGTGTGCATGAATGTGTCTGTGCGAGTATTGGTGGATGGTCCCCTGTTCCCTCGAAGATGCAGGGTTTGGGGTGATTTCCAGAGAAGATGGGAAAGTCTCTGATTTTATTTCCCAAGCAAATGACTGTCCCAGTTTTCTGGGGGTGAGCGAGGGCTGCTGGGACCATTGCAGGGAACAATGATAATCTAGGCTTGGTTCCTACCCAGAGAGCACGCACTCATCCTTCATGCACTCCCCTGTTCCAAACCCTCACTGGCTCCGTACTGCCTCCGACCTTCCGAGACTTTAGCCTGGCTCCTGTCAACATCTCTGACCCTTACTACATGATCCTCTCTTTGGTCCATGCTCCAGCCTAATCTAATTGCGGTGGCTTGTGCGTGGTGGCATTCCCAGCCACCATACCTTTACCCACGCTGGTCCTTCCATGCGGAATGCCTTTCCAGGGCCTGCTTTGCCCGCTTCTGCTCATACACAGGCATGCCCTCCAGGATGGCTTCCTACCTCTTTCCCTTGGGGGATTGATCTCTCTGTCTTGGGGTTCTCGGAGCCCTTGACCTGACCCCTTTCTGTTTGGCAAAAAAGTAATTTACCTCGGTGTCCTTCTCCCTGGTAGTCTGTGAGCTCCCCAAGGCTGGGCTGTGCCTGATTCACCTCTGGAACTTGCTTAGCACAGTGCGTGGCCTGCTGCAGGTGTTCATTGAGCACTTGCCGAATGAATGCATGAATGAATGAATGAATGAATGAATGCAAGGGGCTGCTAATCCACAGGACTCCTCAGGTCAGCCAGACGTCCCGGTTCCAAGGCCTGCCACTGACTCACCTCAGGACCCTGCTTGAACCATTAGAACTCACCCTGCCTCACTTTCCCCCTCTGTGAAATGGGGCTCCAACTCCTATTCAAGCTACTATCATTTGGGGGCATTGTGAGGCCACAGATCCCAGAACATCAGAGTCAGAGGTAGCCCAGAAAGCTTCCCACCCATCCCTACAAATGGGAAACTGAGGTCTGGAGAGGGAAGGGCAGAGTTGGGCTCCCTGTCTCAGGCTCGGACCCACCATCAGGCCTGTCTCTAAAACGAATCCCAGCTCCCACGCTGCACCCTGAGCCTGGAAGCCTGAGCCACACAAGGACGGGGAATTTTCCTTCCCACTTCCAGAGGCCTCTGAACCTCCCTGAGCTTGTCCCCTTTGGAGGGTATTGGGCAGCAGCGTGGGCAGAACCCCAGCTCACTGTCTGGGGGAGCGCTGCAGGACAGCCTTGTCTGTCTGTCTCAGCCTGCCCTGGGGACCCGAGGTCAGGGAGGAAGTGCCGCATCTGGTCTTCCCCAGAGCGAGAGTGTGAGCAAGGGTGGGATTGCGTGTGGCCCGAGAGTAGCCCCTCCCCTCCCCCTGTCCCCACCCCAAACCCTCTTAATGAAATCAAGCTGGCCCTGCGGCCCAGCCGGGGAGGGAGGAAGGAGGAGGGACGGGAGGAGGGACGGGAGGAGGGAGGGCGGGCAGGCGCCAGCCCAGAGCAGCCCCGGGCACCAGCACGGACTCTCTCTTCCAGCCCAGGTGCCCCCCACTCTCGCTCCATTCGGCGGGAGCACCCAGTCCTGTACGCCAAGGAACTGGTGAGTCCTGGGGTCCCCTCCTCTGTCCTGAGAGCCTGGAGCTATCTTGGAGCTTAGGGACTGGGGACTGTTGGAGCACTCTGGGGGGCCTCTCTAAGTGTGTGTGGGCTTTGAGTGTGTGTTTGGTGTTGTGTGCATGAGTGTGGTGGAATCTGAGTCCCGTGTGCGGTGCTGGGGTGGGCCAGGGTGGGCCGGAGTGTTGTGTGTGTGCGGCTGGGGCCTTGGTGTAGGGGGTGTGTTGCTTCCACTTTTCTGCAAGTGGATGCCAGGCTGTTGCTTCCAGGATCTGTGTGAGGGTGATGTGGACGGTATTGTCCTGTGTGCAGGGATCGGCTGTGTGTCAGGGGGTTGTGTATGTATATGTGTTGTGTGTCCGTGTGTGTTCTCTGTGTATTGTGTGCATGGGCCATGAGAGTGCTGTTGGGTGTCTCAGTGCTGTGTGAGTCGGTGTGCCTGTGTTGTGTGTCTTTATATTGTGTGTCCATGCTGCTCTGTGTGTGTGTGTGTGTGTGGAGGGGGATTGTGCCCCCAGGACCCCCCTCCCCATCCAGACCTCCAGGGCCCAGGTCCCTGTCCTTGGCTGGCCCTGGGGTCGGGGGCATGTGCAGTGCTCCAACCAGAACACCCCTCCCCCACAAGGCCACTGATTGAAGCCAGGTTTCCGTGGGCCGCCCCTCCCCCAAAGGCCACCAGTCTCTGGGTGGGGGTGGGGCAGCCCCCGGTCCCCTAGCTTCAAGTCTTGGGGCCCCCAGGCCTCAGGGGTGCATCTGCACTCCTCCACAGACTCAGGACCATCTTAGGGCATTTGCCACACTTACACACGGCCAGCCCTGCCTGACATGTCCCCAGGCAGGGAGTCCTGGGCAATCACGTGGTACCTGCTAATTGGCACCCACTGTGCACCAGGCATGGCCGCATCTTGTCCTAACAGCAGTCCAGGGAGGTGGCTCTTATCCCCATTGTACAGATATGGAAACCGAGGCTCAGAGAGGTGACATGCCCAGCCCAAGGACACATAGCCGGGAAGTGACCTCCTCTGGGATATACCAAGACAGGCTTCTCTGTCCAGGGCTCTGCTGGGCTCACCCCTGACTTTCTGTGTGACCTGGGCAGGCTGTTTCCAGTCTCTGGACCTGAGTTACCTCTAAGGTGAAGCAAGAGGCGTTGGGCCTGACCCCAGCTCCTAATGGCCTGTTAGATTCTGAGTCCTTGAAAAAATTAGGGTCCGGGGGGAGGTAGGCAGAATAATGACTTCAGAGCTGCCCAGAACAGTGCTTCATTCCACAGATGGGAAACTGAGGCCCAGAGAGGGCAGGGGCCGTCCAGGGCCACACAACCATCTTTTTTGAGGCTCTGCTGACTGCAGGTGGGGCTGGGTCCTCCATACGTTGCCCCCACCTTTCCCTGGAAGCCAGGAGGGGTTGTGGGGTGCAGGGGACTCTGAGAGTCAGGGTCTCAGCCTTAAAGAGCCAGTGGCAGTTTGTGTGTTCTCCTTTCTTGCCCTCTGCCTCTGACTTCGTGTGTGTGTGTGTGTGTGTGTTGTATGTATATGTGTGTGTAGGTGTATGTGTGCATGTGTGTGTATGTGTATGTGTGTGCATGTGTGTGTTTGGTTCTGCATTCCTTGGCGGCCAGAGCTAAAGAGGTTTCACTGAACGGGGTGAAAAGGTTGGTCTTTCACTGGGTGGCGGCCGGACCAGACAGTGAGCGCATGTTCCCATCCGGCGATGGTGCTCATTTGTCGACTCAGGGTGGGAAATTGCTGGCTGAACCTGGAGTTCGGCTAGGGAAGGAATTCAGCTACCCCAGACCCTATCTTTCCTCGGGGCTCAGCTACTTCGCACCAGGCACTCTCTGAAAGTTGTCTCATTTGGCCCTAACAGCTCTGAGAGGTGCTACCTGTGGTCACCCTGTCCCAACTTACGGATGGGGAAAGTGAGGCCCACAGGAGCCAGACCACAGAGCTGGATGCGATGGAGCCGGGATTCTTGACCCAGCCAGAACTTGAGTGGGTCTCCAGCCACCCATGGTCCCAGCTGCCCTCTGCAGTGAGAAGTGGTAGTTGTTGCCACAAAAGCTCTCTCCTAGGCTTGACTGGGGGTGGGAGGCAGGGAGGTGACTGGCAGGTCACAGACCCCAAAGCTCAAGGTTGTCTGTAGGAACCTTTGCTAACAGGTGCCAGAGAGGTGAGGGGGTCCTTTCCTCATTTAGCATCTGACAGGTGATGTCCACCAGCGGGAACAAGCCATTCCTGGCTCAGAGTGTGTGGTGTGTGCATGTGTGTGTGGTTGTGTAGGTGAGTGTGTGTGGTGTATGTGTATGGTTGTGTGTATGTGGAGTGTATGCATATATGTGTGGTGTGTGCATGTGTGTATGATTGTGTGTAGTATGTGAATGTGTGTATAGGGGTGTGTGTGGGGCATGTGTGTACGTGGTTGTGTGTGGGGTGTATATGGGTATGTGTGGCGTGTGTGCATGTTTGTGTGTGGGGTGTGTGTGCATGTGTGTAGATGATTGTGTGTGTAGTATGTGCATGTGTGTATATGGGTGTGTGAGTGTGTGTGTGGTATGTGTGTGCATGGTTGTGTGTGGTGTGTGTGCATGTGTGTATGATTGTGTAGTCTGTGCATGTGTGTATATGGGTGTGTGTGTGTGTGGCGTGTGTGCATGATTATGTGTGGGGTGTGTATGGGGATGTGTGTGTGAGTGTGTGGCGTGTATGAATGGTTGTGTGTGTGGTGAGTGTGCATGTGTATGTATGGCTGTGTATGAGTGTGAGTGTGGTTTGTGTGAATGTGCGTGTAAACTCCTGGGATCAGACAGAGGAAGGTTCAGATCCCAGCTCAGCTACTTATCATCTGTGTGTCCTTGGGGAAGTCACTGTCTGTCTCTGAACCTCTGTTTCCTCATCTGTAAAATGGGGATAATGAAGCTGCCTCAGGGCTCCTGTAGGATTAAAGGCATGAAAAGGGCTTAGATGAGTACCCGCGAGGAAAGCACAGGTGACCAGCTCATTTAAAATGAGCCCCTGAGAAGCTTTGTCTCTTTTTTAAAAAATTGAAATATTTTAATATATTTCATAGAGATGGAGGTTTCCTTATGTTGCCCAGGCTGGTCTTGAACTCCTGGGCTCAAGCGATCCTCCCAAGTAGCTGGGACTACAGGCATACACCACCAGGCCTGGCTACTTTTTTATTTTTTTGTAGAGGTGGGGTCTTACTATGTTGCTCAAACTCCTGCCCTCAATCAATCCTCCGGCCTCGGCCTCCCAAAGTGCTGGGATTACAAGTGTGAGCCACCACACCTGGCCAATTTTGCCTCTTTTTATGTCCTGGAATTATTTTTTTATTTTTTCCATCTAAGCCAGTTTGTTCACATTTAATTTCTTTTTTTTCTTTTCTTTCTTTCTTTTTTTTTTTGACAGGTTCTTGCTCTGTCACCCAGGCTGGAGTGCAGTGCCAACTCCGCTCACTGCAGCCTCAACTTCCCGGGCTCAGGCGATTCTCCCACCTCGGTCTCCTCGGTACCTGGGACCACAAGTGTGCGCCACTAGGCCTGGCTAATTTTTGGTGTTTTTAGTAGAGACAGAATTTTGCCGTGTTGACCAGGCTGGTCTTGAACTCCTGAGCTCAGGTGATCCTCCCACCTTGGCCTCCCAAAGTGCTGGGATTACAGGCATGAGCCACCGCACCCAGCTGATGCGATCCATTTCAATGAAAGCTGTGTCACAGAGAAGCCTCAGGTCACCTGGAACAAGCCCCTCAATGGCCCAACCTGGTTCCTACCTCACCTCCAGAATCCTCACGGTACCTGTGGGGAAGGTAGTGTCCTCTGCTTCACCAAGCAGGCCCTGAGGCCCAGGTGCTGGAGATGTGACCGCAGCCGAGGCCTTGGGAGCCTGGCTTCCTCCTCCAGCCCGGAACTTGCTGTGTGGCCCTGGGCCTGCCCTTTGCCTTCTCCGGGCCTCTGTCTCTCCACCTCAGTTCCCTGAGGCCTCAGGACAGGAGATCCTAAGGCTTTTCTGTGTTGAAGCTTCTAGACCCAAGCCCGCTTCCGGGACCTGAGCCCTCTGCTGGGCCGGGCAGGGGTTCTCAGAGGACAGTGCAGTGAATTGTCCCTGGGTTTGAGCAGCTGGGAGCCCCCAGCTCACATTGGCTGGGAGAGACAGTGTTTTGAAACTCAGCTCCTCTGTCAACTCTGGCTATGAGGAATTAATTCATCAGCCGGGCTGTCTGGGCCAGGTGGGGTCTTGGGGTTCACCCGGGAGCAGCCTTCCATCAGGGCAGGGAGGCCCCCGGCTCATCTGGTTCCCATCTAGTGGGGGCGGGGCGCATCGGCAGCTCAGCTTTGTCTTGGGAACCAGGACTTCCCCACCCTGGGGCCCATCCTGGCTCCTGCTTGGAGCCTGGGGGTGAGGGCAGCCACAGGGGGCTGTCCATGCATGCCCCTGGCATCCATGACCCCTGCCTAGCTCAGAGACCTGGAGGCTTCAAACCCTACGAATCTTTTTTTTTTTTTCTTCTTGAGATAGGTTCTCGCTCTGTCACCTAGGCTGGAGTGTGCAGTGGCGCGATCTCGGCTCACTGCAACCTCCGCCTCCCAGGTTCAAGCGATTTTCCTGCCTCAGCCTCCTAAGTAGGTGGGATTACAGGGGCACGACACCATGCCTGCCTGATTTTTGTATTTTTAGTAGAGATGGGGTTTCACCATGATGGCCAGGCTGGTCTTGAGCTCCTGACCTCAAGTGATCTGCCCACCTCGGCCTCCCAAAGTGCTGGGATTACAGGCGTGAGCCACTGCGCCTGCCCTGCTAGGAATCTTTTGCAGAATAAGGTAGAGCTGGGCTGGCGGAAGGTTTGAGAAAGCCCCTGAACCACCAGGTTGTGGCCGCGCGGAGCCACTTTGGCCACCCAGTGCATGGGGGCCAGACCCTGAGGGGAACGGGACCACAGAGAGGCTGGGGACTGAAGGGAAGGGTCCCAGAGTTGTGGGTAGGGGGTGAGGTGTCACTCAGCAACCTCAGTCACTCAATCGGTTTCTCACTTACTCAGCCCTACTATCATTTCTCCCTCTCTGCTTGGATCCAGACCCAGCTCTTCCCTGGCAAGTCACCACGTCCCTCTCAGCCTCTGTTTTTTCATCTGCAAAATGGGCCTAATCATAGAACTTCCCACACTGGGCAGTGATCAGGATTCATTGAGAAGTTCCATGTAAGAAACTTAAAACAGTGGCTGACACATAAAGTCATGAAAGTGTAAATTATCATTATTAATTCAGCCACGTCAGTCAGGGTACATTTATTGAGCACTTACTGAATACCAGATATGGGGCCAAACCCTGAGGAGGCCGAGATGAATAAGATTCAGCCCCTGACCTCCGGGACCTCCAGAGAAGTGGGGGAGCACATCTGTACTCCACAGCTGAACCAGCGGGGCTCAGGCCCTGGGAATGGAAGGGACTTGCTAGAAGGTGTTTCATGCTCCCTGTTCCTCCTGGGGGCTGGTGAGCCTGTTTCTGAATCCTGACACTCTAGAGTTCCGCCATGACTTCTCTCCTCCCTCCTGTCTCACAGGTCCTGGGGGCACCATGGTTTCGGCGGCAGCCCCCAGCCTCCTCATCCTTCTGTTGCTGCTCCTGGGGTCTGTGCCTGCTACCGACGCCCGCTCTGTGCCCCTGAAGGCCACGTTCCTGGAGGATGTGGCGGGTAGTGGGGAGGCCGAGGGCTCGTCGGCCTCCTCCCCGAGCCTCCCGCCACCCTGGACCCCGGCCCTCAGCCCCACATCGATGGGGCCCCAGCCCATAACCCTGGGGGGCCCATCACCCCCCACCAACTTCCTGGATGGGATAGTGGACTTCTTCCGCCAGTACGTGATGCTGATTGCTGTGGTGGGCTCCCTGGCCTTTCTGCTGATGTTCATCGTCTGTGCCGCGGTCATCACCCGGCAGAAGCAGAAGGCCTCGGCCTATTACCCATCGTCCTTCCCCAAGAAGAAGTACGTGGACCAGAGTGACCGGGCCGGGGGCCCCCGGGCCTTCAGTGAGGTCCCCGACAGAGCCCCCGACAGCAGGCCCGAGGAAGCCCTGGATTCCTCCCGGCAGCTCCAGGCCGACATCTTGGCCGCCACCCAGAACCTCAAGTCCCCCACCAGGGCTGCACTGGGCGGTGGGGACGGAGCCAGGATGGTGGAGGGCAGGGGCGCAGAGGAAGAGGAGAAGGGCAGCCAGGAGGGGGACCAGGAAGTCCAGGGACATGGGGTCCCAGTGGAGACACCAGAGGCGCAGGAGGAGCCGTGCTCAGGGGTCCTTGAGGGGGCTGTGGTGGCCGGTGAGGGCCAAGGGGAGCTGGAAGGGTCTCTCTTGTTAGCCCAGGAAGCCCAGGGACCAGTGGGTCCCCCCGAAAGCCCCTGTGCTTGCAGCAGTGTCCACCCCAGTGTCTAACAGTCCTCCCGGGCTGCCAGCCCTGACTGTCGGGCCCCCAAGTGGTCACCTCCCCGTGTATGAAAAGGCCTTCAGCCCTGACTGCTTCCTGACACTCCCTCCTTGGCCTCCCTGTGGTGCCAATCCCAGCATGTGCTGATTCTACAGCAGGCAGAAATGCTGGTCCCCGGTGCCCCGGAGGAATCTTACCAAGTGCCATCATCCTTCACCTCAGCAGCCCCAAAGGGCTACATCCTACAGCACAGCTCCCCTGACAAAGTGAGGGAGGGCACGTGTCCCTGTGACAGCCAGGATAAAACATCCCTCAAGGCTGGGTGTGGAGGCTCACACCTGTAATCTCAGCATTTTGGGAGGCCAAGTGCGGACATCACTTGAGACCAGGAGTTCCAAACCAGCCCTGGCAACATTGTGAGACCCATCTCTATAAAAACAAAAAACAGTCCACTAAATCAGCCACATTAATTGGGAATCATATGTCACAGGTCATTTGTGGGGCAAACATCACTGCTTTTCCATCAAGGGAGCAAAGAATAAGTGGGAGTTTTGGAAGAGTTTGGATGAGAGACGCCAAGGTGCCCAGCGTTCGTAAGGCAACATGCAGCCTGGCGTGAAGCAGTATTTTGAAACTGCAAATGGTTCCCTTCTTGTGTCCTTTCAATGCTGAATATTTTAGTGTCATTCTGCCTGTGCTCAGAGCTCCAGCAGCAGAAGTGTGTGTGGTTAATTAGGACACTTCTGTGAGAGGACCCCTGCACACATTACGACAGGTCCCTAAATGAGCATTTCCCAAACTAGGTTCCCCGAGGCACTCTACGGAAACAAGATTTTTTTTTTTGAGACGGAGTCTCGGTCTGTCACCCAGGCTGGAGTGCAGTGGTGCAATCTTGGTGCAATCTTGGCTCAGTGCAATCCGCCTCCCAGGTTCAAGCGATTCTCCCGCCTCAGTAGCTGGGATTACAGGTGCCCACCACTGCGCCCAGCTAAATTTTGTATTTTTAGTAGAGATGGGGCTTCACCATGTTGGCCAGGCTGGTCTGGAACTCCTGACCTTCAGGTGATCCACCTGCCTCTGCCTCCCAAAGTGCTGGGATTACAGGCGTGAGCCACCGTGCCCGGCCCAAACTACTTTTTAAAACAGCTACAGGGTAAAATCCTGCAGCACCCACTCTGGAAAATACTGCTCTTAATTTTCCTGAAGGTGGCCCCCTGTTTCTAGTTGGTCCAGGATTAGGGATGTGGGGTATAGGGCATTTAAATCCTCTCAAGCGCTCTCCAAGCACCCCCGGCCTGGGGGTGAGTTTCTCATCCCGCTACTGCTGCTGGGATCAGGTTGAATGAATGGAACTCTTCCTGTCTGGCCTCCAAAGCAGCCTAGAAGCTGAGGGGCTGTGTTTGAGGGGACCTCCACCCTGGGGAAGTCCGAGGGGCTGGGGAAGGGTTTCTGACGCCCAGCCTGGAGCAGGGGGGCCCTGGCCACCCCCTGTTGCTCACACATTGTCTGGCAGCCTGTGTCCACAATATTCGTCAGTCCTCGACAGGGAGCCTGGGCTCCGTCCTGCTTTAGGGAGGCTCTGGCAGGAGGTCCTCTCCCCCATCCCTCCATCTGGGGCTCCCCCAACCTCTGCACAGCTCTCCAGGTGCTGAGATATAATGCACCAGCACAATAAACCTTTATTCCGGCCTGAAGTCTCACCAGTTTTCTGGGGGGTGGGGGAAATGAGCCTGCTGGGGAGGGGCTCTTGCATGGGGATGGGGACAACTTTCTGGGGAGACACATCAGCCCAGTCCTGGAGGGTGAAGGGACAGATTGATGTGGGAAACAAAGGAAAGACCGGTGCTCCCGAGGAATGGGCTGGAACTCATGTCCCCAGGGGTGGAGCACCAGCTCTGGACTTGTGGCCACGCAGACCCAGGTTCCATGCCCAGCTCTGCCACTGTGGCCATGGGAGAGTCACTCACCTCTCTGTTTCCCCTGCAGGTGGTTGAGGACTGGGACGGGTCTCATGGACAATGCCCCCCTCACTGCACCCTTGGCCGGGATCGGGAGTAGGAGGCAGCCCTGGCCCTGCAGTCGGCCTCTGCCTTCTGTCTCCCCACCCACAAAACTCCTCTTGGTCTTTGATGGCAAGTTCCTGCAGCGACTTCTCCCCCGCACCCTGGGCCTCAGGAGCTGCCAGCTGGAATCCAGATGTGGCTGGGGCTGGGAGCATGTGCTGGGTCCCTGGGGCTGGGGGGCAGTGGGCCATCCCCTGCAGCCCCTCCCCTCCACCGACCCCACCTCCAGCCGGAGGGGGCCCCAGAGTTTTGGGTTTCATAACACACAATAGCCTCTGTCTCACTCAGTGGGGAAGGGCCCTCCCTTTCTCAGCCCAGCCAGGCCTGCCAAGAACAGCAGGAGGGTGGAAGAGTAATACCTGTGTGTGCTGCGTGGCTCTGACCAAATCGACCAAATCATTCAACTTCGCTGGGTGTCACGGGCTGTGCTTTCTTCTTGTTCCCAAGCTCCTGCGGGGTGTTAGTTGTTGTGACGTGACTGGGAAGTGCATGAAGCTTCCCTTGAATACATAAAAATCTAGTAAAACAGAAGCAATCATTAGAGACCCTGGGGGTGCAGACGGGGGTGAGCTCCCTGATCAGCGGCTCCAGTCTGCAGTCTTCCACTAATGCTCAGCGGGACCCTCCAGAGGACATGGAGTCCATGACCTCAGCCATAGCCTGTGACCCCCAAGACTGGTGGGGGATGAATGAAGGAGGTGTTCCGAGCAACAGAGCAGTTCACCTCTTCCTCACCTCTGAGCTTTTACAGCTGCTGTTCCTTCTGCCTATGACACCTTTCCACCCCTCCCAACCCCCTGCTGCCTTGCTAACTTTCCCCTTATCCTTTAGCTTCTGGCCTAGATGTCCCTTCCTCCTGGGAGCCTTCCCTGATAGCTTCCACCCCACCCCCCTTCCACAGTCCCTTGGCTCAATGATAATAATGGCTTCCAATTAATGAGCCCCTGTTATGTGCCAGGCCCTGCTCTCAGTACTTGGCATCATTAACTCATTGAGACTTGCAGCCCTCTGAGGTGGGCACTGTTATTATTCTCATGTCACAGATGTGGAAACTGAGGCCCAGAGAGGTGATGATGTCGGCTGCCCAGGTCCCAGAGCCAGGATTCCAGCCCAGCAATTTGATTCCAGCGTCTGAATTCTCCACTGGGCTCTAATGCTTCTTTGAAGAATGAATGAATGAATCCCTTGGGAAGGGGGCAGCAGGGCTCCTCTCCTGCTTAAAGCCACTCCAATCTGCTCTTACATCTGAGATGGGGTTACCTAGAAGGGGCATTTTATGGGCACACATCTGGCTGGGCACCAGTGAACACTGAGCCATAGAGGGAGACGGTGGTTGCTGGGGGGTAAGCAGGATTGGGGGAGATTTGGGCTTGAGGCTGAGGGAGAGGGTTCCACTGTTCTCAGGGGCCCAGGAGTCTGCCAGGGCCTGAACAGTCCCCCCACTGTCTCTGGGCTTGTAAAACGGCACAGCTGCCACCAGCCTGTGAGTCTGTCCCCGAGCCAGGCCTGCTGTCATTCTAAAGGGGGAGGGGGAGGAGGAGCAAAACTACCCCAAGGCCTCAACCCCAGCTCAGGGTAGAGATGGGGGATTCTGGTCAACTGTGTGGGTGTTGGGGGTGCTAAAGGGCCACTGGTTGGAAGCGGGACTCCTTCCCAGCCCCTTGCTCTGCTCTGATCAGCCCAGGAGGGCTGGGCGTTCCCTGGCTGGGGTCAAGTCGAAGGTGAGAGTGAGATTGGGCAGTGGGCACATCTCTGCTGGGCACATTGTCTTTAACCCTCTTGTGATGTTTCAGGTGGTTCTGGTCCCATGGTCACCTTGTCTGGGTCCAGTCCCAGCTCCACTCTTTCTTAGCTGTGGAGCCTTGGGCAAGTCGCCTCAACTCTCTGGGCCTCCGTTTTCATGTGTGTAAAGAGGGAATGACCCTATCCCATGTAGCAGGGGTCTCCACCTGCACATTGGGATTACCTGGGAGTTTAACAAAATACTGGCTCCTAGCCAGGTGCTAGGTGGCTCACACCTATAATCCCAGCACTTTGGGAGGCCAAGACAGGAGGCTCACTTGTACCAGGAGTTTGAGACCAGCCTGGGCAACATAGGGAGACCCTGTCTTTAAAATAATAATAATAATAATAATAATAATAATAATAAATATCCAGGAGTGGTGGTGGGCACCTGTGGTCCCAGCTATTTGGGAGGCTAAGGCAGGAGGATTGACTGAGCCCAGGAGGTTGAGGCTGCAGTGAGCTGTGATCGCACCACTGCACTCCAGCCTCAGTGACAGAGCGAGACCCTGTCTCAAAAAAAAGTTGACATCTAGGCCAGGTATGCTGGCTCATGTCTGTAATTCCAATACTTTGGGAAATTGAAGCAGGAGGATTGCTTGGGCTCAGGATTTTGAGACCAGTCTGGGTAACATGGTGAGACCCCATTAAAATTAAAAAATTAAAATACTGGCTCCTGGGCCCCACCTAGACCAATGACATCAGATTCTCTGAGGATACAGCTGAGCAACTGTCACTTAAGATGCAAAGTCCACAAGGAGAGAAGCCTGGGGGTTGGCCCACCACTGCCTCTCTAGCGCTTGGCATGGTTCCTGGCACACAGTAGGGGTTCCGTGTGTGTGCATGTACAAGTGTGTAAGGCTGAAGGAGGGCATATGAATCAGTGTACCATACATCCATAACCATATATCCATAACCATATTTAACCCTCACTGCATTCCCCACAGAGAGCTGAGCAATGTCAGTACCCGCATTGCACAGATGAAGAAACTGAGGCTCAGAGAGTTGCAGTGACTTGCTTGAGGTCGCACAGCCCGGCGAAGCTGGGATTCGAACCCAGGTCTGTCTAGTTCCTCAAGGCTCTTCAGCTGCCTCATTTTAGAACATATCTATGGTCTAAAGGCCGAGTCTTCCACTATCGGTGCAGTGGGGTGTGAGTTTCATCATAGGTCCTGCATCCCTGTTTCGACCTCCTCTGTCCTCCTTCTCCCGGGGGTGTTGACTGTGGGTCATGCCTGTCCTGTGTGTCTCGCCTGTCCTGTGTGTCTCATTCACACAGGCCTAGAATCATCCAATCTGCTCCTGTTGGGATTAATTAACCCTCTGGGTTGTGAGGTGGCCCAGGAGAAAGTAGCAGGTTCGTAGCTTCTCCGATTTGCAACCACAACTATTTCATAAGCACCTACTATGTGCCGGGTATTGGGAACACAGTGTTAGCACAACAGACCTGAAGCTGTATTCTAGTGGAACAGATGAAAATTAATCAAAGAATGATCTAGACGCAGCTACAGTGATTAATAACAGAAATAGCTGCCATTTGTAAAAGGGCTATTATGCACATGGCTGGTGCTTTGCCAATAATATTTTTTACAGCTTTACCGAGGGTTAACTGACACAGAATAAAATGCACATATTTAAAGTGTACAATTTGGCCAGGCCCAGCGGCTCATACCTGTAATTCCAGCACTTTGGGAGGTCAAAGCAGGAGGATCACTTGAGGCCAGCCTGGCAATGTAGTGAGCACCCCCAACCCAATCTCTACCAAAAAAAAAAAAATTAAATTAGCCAGGGCCAGATGCTGATGGCTCACGCCTGTAATGTCAGTGCTTTGGAGGCTGAGGTGGGAGGATCCCTTGAGCCCTGGAGTTTGAGACTAGCCTGGGCAACATGGTGAAACCCCATCTCTACAAAAAATACAAAAATTAGCTGGCACAGTGGCGTGCGTGTTGTCCCAACTACTTGGGAGGCTGAGATGGGAGGATCGCTTGAGTCCAGGAGGTTGAGGCTGCAGTAAGCTGTGACTGCACCACTGCACTCCAGCATGGGTGACAGAGCGAGACCTTGTCTCAAAACAAAAAAACCCCCAAAAACCCAAAAAAACAAAAAACAAAACAAAACAAAAAAACCCGGCTGCATGTGGTGGCTCACACCTGTAATCCCAGCACTTTGTGAGGCCGAGGCAGGTGGATCACGAGGTCAGGAGATTGAGACCATCCTGGCCAACATGGTGAAACCCCATCTCTACTAAAAATACAAAAAGTAGCTGTGTGTGGTGGTTGGCACCTGCAGTCTCAGCTACTCGGGAGGGTGGGGCAGGAGAATCTCTTGAACCCAGGAGGCAGAGGTTGCAGTGAGCCGAGATCGTGCCACTGCACTCCAGCCTGGTGACAGAGTGAGACTACATCTCAAAAACAACAACAACAACAACAACAACAACAACAAGAACCAAAAAACAACAAAAAACCAAACAAAAAGAAAAGTGTACATTTTGATGATTTTTGACATGTGTTTACACCAGAACGGTCATCACGATCAAAATAATGAACATTCCATCACCTCCAGAAGTTCCCTGGTACCCCTTCATAATCCTTCCTTACTCTTCCTTCTCATCCTTCCTCCCTCCGCTAATGACCAGGCAACTATTGATTTGCTTTCTGTCACTATGAATGGTTTTAATTTTTCTGGAATTTTCTACAAGTGGAAACATACAATGTGTGTTGTCTTTTCCGCCTGGCTTCTTTCACTCTGCATACATGTTTTGAGATGTATTCATGTTTTTGTAGTATCAATATCTCACTCTTTTTCATCGCTAGGTAGCATTCTGTCATATGGATGTACCACAATTTCTTTATCCATTCACCTGCTAATGGACATTTGGATGGTTTCCAGTTTTGGGATATTACAAAGTTGCTATGAACTACTAATGTTATTTGATTTTTTCCTCACAACCTTCAAGAGGAGGTGATCATTCTTTCTCTCCATTATACAGATGAGAAGAATGGAGACTCAGAGGGGTCAAGTGACTCATCCAACATCACACAGCCAGTAGTTGGAGTGTCAAACCTTAAAGAGTGGGGATGTGTGAGCTGAAAGTGACTTTAGGGAAACTTCTAAGGTTCAGAGGACATCAGCATCACCTGGGACCCCTGAGTGCTGTTTCAGCTCTGCAGGTGATTCTGATGTACTAAAGTTGAGGATCCCAGCCCTTTATTTTATAGTCGGGCAGGTGAGGACCAGACAGGGGCTTGGGTGGGGCAGAGCTGGGCAGGAATCAGGTCTCTTGTGGGAAGTCTTGAGCTGTGTCCAGCTCTGCGCTGTTTCCTCCTTGGTTCTTCATCTATTTTGGGAGAAGTATCTTCATCTGTCTGGAGTGGGACGGGGAATTGCCATTTTTTTCAGAAGGTTTTAATTTCAGGATTCCTTTGGCTGCTCAGAAATAGCAGCAGGGATTTGGTGACGGCTCCAGGGCCCGGGAGGTTTCCCGGCAGCTGCTCCCTCTCCCCAGGGGCGTCCAGGGTTTATGGTGGCAGCTGCAAAGCAAATAACAGCCCTGCTGGTAAATCCACTCTGGCCACTGAGGCCCCTGCGATGTCTACCACCCACTGGGGCCCTGTAGTGACACCTGGGGTGCCCTGGAAGGCTGGAGAGTCCAGGCTTGGGGGTGACCACCTGCAGCCTCTCCCTTAGAGTATGGGCAGTCAGGCCCAACTGGCAGAGCTGGAGGGGGAAGAGGAGGGATGGGGACTGCATCCTTCTTCTTCCCCCTTCAGGGGTCATAGGGGTCAAAGATTACAGACAGCAAAGGGCAGAGGGAGGTAGAAGGGCACTGGGGCCACAGCCCCTGCCCTGCCTCTCCTCTTCCCCCAGAATACAGTGAGGCTAAGAAATATGGATGCACTTTACAAATGTTCCCAGAAGTGTGTATGGTGGTTAGGGGTGCAGGTTTCAGATGACCTGGGCTGGAATCCTAGTTCTACTATCTCCCCTGGATAAATCACTTAACTCCTGTAGGCCTGCGTTTCCTGATCTGTGAAATGGCAATAATGGTGGTACCTACCTTGGAGTGTGGGTGAGAGTTGAGTTCATTTATTAAAGTGCTTGGAATGGGCTGCCTGTGGGAATGTAAGCTGTGGTTAGCTGTGAACTGTGAAGTGCAATGCCCGCAGAAGGGGAAAGGGGGAAACTTCTATCTCTAAACATCCAGCTGTTCTAGAGTCACCTTTTCTTTCCAGGTCTAGTTTAGAGGCTTCAGAATCATAAGATCAGTATTCTCAGATGCTTGAAACTTTACAGTCTTAACATCTTTTCATAGGGGGCAGGGCAGTGGAAGTGTTGGAGAGGCCAGAGCAGGGCCAGGAGCCAGGGAAGACCTGCAAACCCCAGGGAGGGGCGAAGGATGTGGCTGGAGAAGAGACAGGTTCCCTTTACCCTCTGGGTGGCAAAAAGGCCCTCCAATCCATGCATGCCTCTGCGGGGGCTGTGCACCCAGTGAGGTGAGGGGTCATGCCTCAGCTGTTCCCTGTCTTCCTCTGGGGTGCGGCGACCACAACCAGGGCTTAGATGTTGTCTGGGCCAGTGTGGCTGGAGATGTAACTGGTGACAAGCGTCGGGGAGCCCAGAGGCTAGGGCTGGTCTGGGGCAGGCGCCAGGGCTATTTCTGGGTGGAAGGAGAAGGGGGACCCAGCTGGGCTAATGACTGGGTGACCTGGAACTTCCGCCTTCTCTCTGTTATGTTCCCATCTATATAAACTTGTCAGCATGGACCCTAGGTAGCAACGTTCTCCAGGCACAGTGGGGGAAGAGCGCAAGGCGTCTGACTCACCTCCCAGAAGACTTGGGTTCAAATCCCAGCCTTCAAATTCCACATCCAGGCTGTGATGTGGAGCAGCTTCGGCCTCCTTTTGGAGCCTCAGGGCTTCACCTGCGAACCCACAGGTCCTGCCCTGTTGGGGTCCCGAGGAGAAAACGCTGGTGGGGTGCATGGCCCAGGGCCCAGGATGGAATAAGGGTGGTTCCAATGATCCCTGCTGCCCTTGCCCTCAGGAAGCTCTAAAGAGCACGCTGCCTCCCTCGGGCAGTTCTGATTTGTGAGATTGGGTGGCTCCTCCTCCGAGCCCTGGTGCTTAGAGTCCAGTGTGGAGCTAGGCACCCAGTAGGTGCTCAATAAATGTTGAGAAGGGAGTGCTATGCCCTTTTCAAGGCTGGGCCCTCGAATGAGGAGCAGAGGGGATGCATGGCATCAAAGGCATTGGATATCTCCTCTGCTCCTGCCCCCGGGGGGTGGCTGTGATATGAGGAGCTCAGGGAAACCCCCTCGACCCCCATACCTCCCACCTCTGTCCTTCCTCAGTGTTTAAATCTCACCATTAGGATTTCTATCACTTCTTGAGCACCACTGTGTACCAGGCATGGTACTAAGCACTTTCTATACATCGGGTCCTCACAAAGCTGCGGGAAACACCGCTGTTATCCACCTTCTACACAGGAAGGTGCAGAAGCTCAGAGAGGTGAAGTGACTTGCCCAAGGTCATACAGCCAGAAAGTGCCTGCGCCCAGCTTTGAACCTTTTGGGGTTGTTGGACCCTGTAGCACTAACCAGTGCTCCACTGTGCCTGCAATCCCATGAATGAATGAATGCATGCATGTATGCATGAATGAATGAATGGGGGATGGGGCCCAAGGCTAATGTATCCAACATCTGAGTAGCCCCACAGCTCAGTCGGCAGCAGCCCGGAGGATTTGACCACAAACGCCTCCGCTGGTCTGAGCCCTTCTTGTCTGCTCACAAACGGCGCATGCGCGCACCCAGCGCGGGAGGAGAACCCAAGCTGGTGGGGCGCATAGCATCCTAGCCCCGCGAAGGATGACCCAGCGGGCTGCTGTTTATCCCCATCTTACAGCGCGGGAAGCCCACGGCGGCTGAAGTGGCCTGACCGGGGGCTCGTGGCTAGTGCATGACCACGCCAGGCCTGCTGGACTCAGACTCTTACTCCTGCTCCAGGCGCTGCATGCGGGAGGTGCTGAGTGTCCACGGAATCTGGAGTCAGGCCCGCAGCCCTGGGGCTCTCCAGAATCCGACATGGAGGTGGGGGGTGGGCGGGGTCCTTGGGCAGGTCCTGGGCCTCGGTTGGGAGCCCCAGGGTGGAGGTCCGGCCCTGCCCCCTCCCTGGCTGTGCCGCCTGGGGCAGGTTGCTTGCCCTTTCTGGACCACAGCTGGACAGAGGAAGGGAAGAATGAGGCTTGTGCTGGAGCTGGTGAGTCCCAAACCCTGTGTTCCAGGGCAGTATTATGGTTAGCGCTGGAGGAAAAGGAGATACAGGATGGCATTTTTCCCTAAATAAAAAGAACTGGGCCAGGCATGGTGGCTCACGCCTGTAATCCCAGCACTTTGAGAGGCTGAGGCAGGCAGATCGCTTGAGCCCAGGAGTTTGAGCCCACCCTGGGCAACATGACAAGACCCCGTCTCTACAAAAAATACAAAAATTAGCCGGGCATGGTAGCGCATGCCTGTAGTCCCAGCTAGTCAGGAGGCTGAGGTGGGAGAATCACTTGAGCCTGGGAAGTTGAGGCTGCAGTGAGCTGTGGTTGTGCCACTGCACTTCAGCCTGGCGACAGAGTTTGACCCTATCTTAAAAAAAAAAAAAAAATTCACTCAATTCTTGCACAAGGTCTCAGGAGAAACTGGACTCTTTCCTCACTTTAATCCATCCCAGAGAGATCAACTCCTCTGCCCATCCCCTATTTTAAGAGACTCCTGGGAGAAACCTAGTTCCTTTGGTCCTTTCTCCATGATCTCACAACCCCTCACTCTCTGGAAGTTCTTTCTGCTATATAACCTAAGTCACGCAGGGTGGCCAAAGGCCGGTTTCCCCACATTCTGGCCTGCAGCAGAGCTCTGGCTGGAGGACTGGGCCAGCTATTGAGGAGCCAGTTAGAAACACTCTTGAATTCTTCCCATGACCTCTCATAAGATAAGAACATCTCGTCCTTGTCCAGATCTGATTCTTTGTGCTGTCTGGTTTGGAGCAGACTGTGATGGAGATAAATGTCTTTCTTGGAGAGTCACATGGCTGCATCCACCTAGTGTTGTAAATGTGCTGCCCTTTGACCCAGAAATTCTTTTCTGGAACTTGCCTGCAGAAATACTTGTGTTTGGATGCTAAGATGGGCACACAAGGTTGTTCATGCTAGTGTTGTTTAGAATAAGTGAAAAGAGAGGGCTAGGCTGGGTGCAGTGGCTCTCTCCTGTTATCCCAGCACTCTGGGAGGCCAAGATGAGAGGATCACTTGAGGTCAGGAGCTCGAGACCAGCCTGGCCAACATGGTGAAACCCCATTTCTACTAAAAATACAAGAAATAGCCAGGTGTGGTGGCAGGACCCTGTAATCCCGGCTACTTGGGAGGCTGAGGGAGAAGAATCTCTTGAACCTGGGAGGTGGAGGCTGCAGTGAACTGAGATCACACCACTGCACTCCAACCTGGGCAACAGAGCGAGACTCCATCTTAGAAAAAAAAAAGAATAAGTGAAAAAAAAGGAAATAATCTATGTGTGCAATAGTGTAGTGGGGTTGAAGAAACAGTCATCTTGTCCAGTGAGAGGCTCAGGGCTTTGACTCTTTTTGTTTGTTTGTTTGAGATAGGGCCTTGCTCTGTCACCCCAGGTTGGAGTGCAGTGGTGCAGTCATAGCTTACTGCAGCCTCAATCTCCTAGGCCCAAGTGATCCTCTCATCTCAGCCTCCCTCAGAGTAGCTGGGACCACAAATGCATGCCATCATGCTTGGCTAATATTTTTTTCTTTTTATAGAGATGGAGTCTTGCTATGTTACCCAGACTGGTCTCAAACTCCTTAGCTCAAGTGATCCTCCTGCCTTGGCCTCCCAAAGTGCTGGGATTACAGGTGTGAGCCACTGCACCCAGCCAGGGGCCTGTCTCTTATGGAGCTCTGGCTTCTCCGGCTTCTCTCCAGTGAATTACCTGTTTCTATCTGTAGTCTATACTTGCATTGGTTGTGTATCCAGTGATTTTCAACTTTTTTGAGGCACAGAACCCTTTGTTCACATAAAGGAATCCTAACATGTAAGTCAAATGAAAGTAGAGCTACACCCTTGAAAGGGATGGGATAGGCTCACTTCCCTTTGCCCCCATAGGGGCCTCAGGCTCAGTGAAGCATAGTTTGCAAACAGTTGTTCTAGTCCCTCCACTCAAGCTATGGATGGGAAACTGAGACTCAAGTTGTCCAGAAAGGTCATGGCCAAGGCCAGTCTCTAGTCCAGGTCACCTGACTCTGTCCAGTGCTCATTCAAGAATGAACT
Organism: Homo sapiens; assembly: GCF_000001405.40. NCBI lineage: Eukaryota > Metazoa > Chordata > Mammalia > Primates > Hominidae > Homo > Homo sapiens. Next base: position 108,579,381 of record NC_000012.12, on the reverse strand, counting down.
CTAGGTAGATGATCGAAGCATCCACAGAAAAGAAGATTTATCACTTCCTTTCTATGTTCTTCGCTTCATTTATTTTTTTATGTGCCTTATTGTAATCACTAAAACATCTAATTCAATAGAGTGCTGGTTGTGGTGGTGGAGGTGGAGGTAGTGATGATGAAGGGGAGGGAGACAGTGGTAGTGGAGGTGGAGATAGTAATGGTGGCGGTTGTGGAGGTGGTGATGGTGGAGGTGATGATGAAGGTGGTGGTGATGGTAGAGGTCTTGGTAGTAGGGGTGGAGAAGAGGTGGAGGTGGAGATGGTGGTTGTGATAGTGGTGGTGGTGTAGGTGGTAATGGTGGAAGAGGTGGTCATGGTGATCATTGTGGTAATGGTGTTAATGGTGGTGGTGGTAGAGGTGATAGTGAAGGTGGAGGTGGTGGTGAGATGATGGTGAAGGAAGTGGTGGTGGTGGAGGCGATGGTGGATGTGGAGAAGGAGGTGGTTGTGATGGTGGCGGTGGAGGTGGTGACAGTGGAAATGGTTGTAATGTTGGTGGACACAATGATGATGGTGATGGTGGTGGATGTGGTGGTAGAGGTGGTGGTAATAATGGTGGTAGAGGTGGTAATGGTGGAGGTGGTGGTGATGGTAGAAGTTATGGTGGTGATGGTGAAGGTGAAACAGGTGGTGGCAGTGGAGATGGAGAAGGAGGTGGTGGTGGTGATGGAGGTGGTGGTGATGGTGGTGGTGGTTGTGATGGTGGTGGTGGTGATGGTGATGGTGATGGTGGTGGTGATGGTGGTGGTGATGATAATGGGGCTGGTGATAATGGGGCTGGTGATAATGGGAGTTGTGATGATGGGGGTGGTGATGATAGTGGTGATGATGGCAATGGCGATGTTCATGATGATGGTGATGATGACGATGATGATGATGATACTGATGATGATGATAATGATGATGGTGATGATTGTATTAGTGTTCAAGGTGCCATAACAAAATACTACAAACTGAGTAGCTTACACAACAGAGTCCAAAATCAAGGTTCTGGCATGTCTGATTTCTGGTGAAGGGTCCTCCTCTTTCAGGCATATAGATGGTCACTTTGTCCTCACATGTCACATGGCCTTTCATGTGAGTGCACACTGAGAGACTTCCTTTTTGTTTTGTTTTGCTATTTTGAGACAAGGTCTCTGTCACCCAGGCTGGAGTACAGTGGCATAATCATAGCTCACTACAGCCCTGACCTCCTGGACTCAAACAATACTCCCACTTCAGCCTCCTGAATAGCTAGGACTACCAGCTTGTACCACCACACACAGCTATTTTCATTTTTAGAGATGGGGTCTTGCTATGTTGCCCAGGCTAGTCCTTAACTCATGGCCTCAAGCGATCGTCCCACCTCAGCCTCCCAAAGTGTTGGGATTACAGGTGTGAGCCTTATAAGAAGAGCCACCAGTTCTTTCTTATAAGACCACCAGTTCTTTCAGATTATGATGCCACTTTTATAAACTCATGTAACCCTAATTACCTCTTGCAGATCCTCTCTTCAAATATAGTCACATTGGGGATTAAAGCTTCTACATAAGAATTTTGAGGGGATATACCTTAGTCCATAGCAGGGATTGGTAGCAATAACAACTACAGCAGAGCTGATGATTTTTTATGGTGATGATGATGATGGTGATGGTGATGATGATGGTAATGGTGGTGGTGGTGATGGTGAGGATGGTGATGATGATGGTAATGGTGGTGGTGGTGATGGTGAGGATGGTGATGATGATGGTAATGGTGGTGATGGTGATGGTGAGGATGGTGATGATGAAGGTAATGGTGGTGGTGGTGATGGTGATGGTGAGGATGGTGATGATAGCCAACATTTATTGAACACCTACTACATGCCTGGAACTGTGCTTTTTTCACTTTACATGGGATAATTTATTTAATCCTCGCAATAATCCATGACTTAGGAGCTAGTTGTCTCCTGTTTTTTCAGAAAGAAAAACCAAAGCTCAGAGAGCTTAAGTACTTGCGTAAGGTCACATGGAGAGATCACAGCAGAGCTGGGATCAGAACCTGAGCCCCCAAGACCTTGCCCAAAGTCGTTCCCTAATGTCCTGTGGTCTTGCCCACAAAGGGGCCAGTGACATAGGGCTGCCTATTGAGGAGGTTTGGGGCAGAAGGGAATCCAGCCCCATTTCCCCACTGGGGCTTCCTTTGACGGATAGGACTGAGGTCCTGGGGGCAGGATGGGAGGCCCCTGGAAGTCCCTTTGCACCAGCAGCTCCAGGATAATAAAGTTGTTCTCACCTGGGGAGCCTTTTGGAGTTATTCTGGGAGTTGGGTTTCTTTGAGGTGAGGCCATGGGCTGGAGTGTCTAATGTGACATTTCCAAAGATAGCTGGGCGGGGTGGTGGTATTAGAGAATGGGTGTGGGGAATAGCTGTGGCCCGTGGTTGGCCACTCGCTGTGGGATGAGCTTGCCTGTCAAGCCATGTGTGACAGAAATCACGTCAGGGTGTCTCCTGCATGGATGCAGACAGGCCACAGCTTTGCAGAATGTTGGAGGCTGGACTGTGAGGGTTGGTTCTATGCCAAAGACACCAGAGCTTGGAAGCCTTGAGGTGATCATATTTTAAAAATAGTTCATAGTAGCAGTAGCAACAATAGTAGTAATAGGACCAATAGTTAGTATTAGTCATGGTAATCTGCGGCCCACCTCATTTTATTGTGCTTCCATGATACTGTGTTTTTTATGCATTAAAGGTTTATGGCAACCTGTCTTGAGCAAGTCTATCAGCACTGTGTTTCCAGTAGTGTATACTCACTTTGTGTCTCTGTGTCATATTTTGGTAATTCTCATAATATTTCAAACCTTTTCATCATGCATCAGTAATCGTTTTGGGGCACCACGAACTGTGCCCATGTAAGACAGTGACCTTAATCAATAAATGTTGTGTATATTCTGACTGCTCCACCAATGAGCTGTTACCCTCTCTCCCTCTCCTGTAACCTCCCTATTCCTAGAGAAATACAAAAATATTGAAATTAGTCAGTTAATAACCCTACAATGGCTTCCTAAGTGTTCAAGGAAGAGTTGCACTTCTCTCACTTTAAATCAAAAGCTAGAAATCATTACACTTGGTGAAGAAGGCATGTTGAAAGCTGAGACAGGCTGAAAGGAAGGCCTCTTGCACCTAATTGTTAGCCAAGTTGTGAATGCAAAGGAAAAGGACTTGAAGGAAACTGAAAGCACTACTCCAGTGAACACACAAGCGATAAGAAAGCAAAACAGCTGGCCGGGCGCGGTGGCTCATGCCTGTAATCCCAGCACTTTGGGAGGCCAAGGTGGGTGGATCACGAGGTCAGGAGTTCAAGACCAGCCTGGCCAAGATGGTGAAACCCTGTCTCTACTAAAAATACAAAAATTATCTTGGCACGATGGCACGTGCCTGTAATCCCAGCTGCTCGGGAGGCTGAGGCAGAGAATTGCTTGAACCCGGGAGGTAGAGGTTGCAGTGAGCCAAGATCATGCCACTACACTCTAGCCTGGGCAACAGAGTGAGACTCTGTCTAAAAAAAAAAAAAAAAAAGAAAGCAAAGCAGCCTTATTGCTGTTGTGGATTGCACATCACCATGGTCTGGAGAGAAGATCAAACCAGCCACAACATTTCCGTAAGCCGAAGCCCAATCTAGAGCAAGGCCCTAACTCTCTTCAATTCTATGGAGACTGATGGAGGTGAGGAATCTGCAGAAGAAAAGCTGGAAGCTAGCAGAGGTTGGTTCATGAAGTTTAAAGAAGCCATCTCCATAACATAAAAGTGCAAGGGGCAGCAGCAAGTGCTGATGGAGAATCACATCAAGTTATCCAGAAGACCTAGCTATGATCACTGACGAAGACGACTACACTAAACAACAAATTTTCAGCTGGGTGTGGTGGCTCACACTTGTAATCCTGGCAGTTTGGGAGGCCAAGGCAGGAGGATAGCTTAAGACCAGGAGTTCGAGACCAGCTTGGGTAACATAGCGAGACCCCCATCTCTATTAAAATTAAACAACACATTTTGGCTGGGCCCGGTGCCTCATGCCTGTAATCCCAACTCTTTGGGAGGTGGAGGCGGGCAGATCACTTGAGGTCAGGAGTTTGAGACCAGCCTGGCCAACATGGTGAAAACCCATCTCTACTAAAAATACAAAAATTAGACAGGTGTGGTGGCACACACCTGTAATCCCAGCTACTCAGGAGGCTGAGGCACAAGGATTGCTTGAACCTGGGAGGCGGAGGTTGCAGTGAGCCAAGATCGCACCACTGCACTCCAGCCTTGGCGACAGAGAGAGAATCCACACGACAGGTGTGGTGGAAATAGCAAGAGAACTAGAATTAGAACTAGAGTCTGTAGATGAGGAGTTGTTTCTTATGGATAAACAAAGAAAATGGTTCTTGAAATGGAATCTACTCCCAGTGAAGATGCTGTGAACATTGTCGAAAGAACAATAAATGATTTAGAACATTACATAAGTATAATTGGTGGGCCTGGCATGGTGGCTCATGCCTGTAATCCCAGAACTTTAGGAGGCTGAGGCAGGTGGATCACTTGAGGACAGGACTTTGAGACCAGCTGGTCAACACGGGGAAACCCCATTTCTACTAAAAATACAAAAATTAGCTGGGCATGGTGGTGCACGCCTGTAATCCCAGCTACTTGCGAGGCTGAGGCACAAGAACCACTTGAACCCAGGAGGCGGAGGTTGCAGGGAGCTGAGGTTGTGCCACTGCACTCCAGCCTGGGCAACAGAGCAAGACTCTGACTCAAAATAAGGAAGGGAAGGAAAGAAAGGAAGGAAGGAAGGGAAAGGAAAGAAAGAAAAAGAAAGAAAGAGAAAGAAAGAAAGGAGAGAGAGAGAGAAGGAAGGAAGGAAGGGAAAGGAAAGAAAGAAAAAGAAAGAAAGAAAAAGAAAGGGGAGAGAGAGAGAGAAGAAAGGAAGGAAGGAAGGAAGGAAGGAAATAAATTTGGTGAAGCAGTGGCAGAGTTTGAGAAAATAGGTTCCAATTTTGAAAGAAGTTCTACCATGGGTAAAATGCTATCAACTAACACCACAGGCTGTAGAGAAATCTTTTGTGAAAGGAAAAGGCAATCAAAGTGATGAACTTCAGCGTTGTCTTATTTTAAGAAATTATGGCTGGGTGCAGTGGCTCGTGCCTGTAATCCCAGCACTTTGGGAGGCCGAGGAGGGCGGATCACCTGAGTTCAGCAGTTCAAGACCAGCCTGGCCAATATGGCGAAACACCATCTCTATTAAAAATAAAAAAAATTTGCCAGGCATGGTGGCACATGCCTATAATCCCAGCTACTCGGGCAGGAGAATTGCTTGAACCTGGGAGGCAGAGTTTGCAGTGAGCCAAGATCGATCGCAGCCCTGCACTCCAGCTTGGGCGACAGAGCGAGATTCCATCTCAAAAAAAAAAAAAAAAAAAAAAAAAAAAAAGACATTGCCACAACCACCTCAACCTTCTGCAACTCCCAGCCTGATCAGTCAGCAGCTGTCAAAATTGAGGCAAGACCCTCCACCAGCAAAAAGATAATGACTTACCGAAGCCTCCAATGACTGTTAGCATTTTTTTTTAGCAACAAACTATGTTTATATTAAGGTATGCACATTGGGTTTTTTTTTTTTAGATATAATGCTATTGCACACTTAACAGACTCCAGTTTAGTGTAAACATAAGTTTTATATGCACTGGGAAAATTTGTGTGACTCGTTTTATTGCAACATTTACTTTATTGCAGTGACCTGGAGCCGAACCTGCAACATCTCTGAGGTGTGCCTGTAATAATACCAATGCAAATAGTAATAGTGAAAATAGCAGTAGAGAAAGTACAGTCATAGCATGCAGGGGCTTGGGCTCTAGATCAAACAGCTCTGAGCTAGAATCTTGATCTTACCATTTGCTGACACATCATTTTACCTTTTAGTTTCTCTATCTGTAAAATGGGATATTGATAGTACTTTAGGATTTTTGTGAGGCAAATGAGCTGATCTATATAAAACACCCAGCAACAGTGCCTAGTATGTAGTCAGGGCTGAAGTGTTACCTGTAATAATGAGAACCACCATAACAGCAATGAACTATTTTTTTTTCCTTTTTCTTTCTTTCTTCTTCTCCTTCCTCTTTTTTTTTTTTTTTTTTTTAAGAGACAGGGTCTCACTCTCTCACCCAGGTTAGAGGACAGTGGTGCCATCACAGCTCACTGCATCCTTGAACTCCTGGGCTCAAGGGATCCTCCCACCTCAGTATCCCAAGTAGCAGAGACTACAGGTGCATGATACTGTAGTGTGCACGACAGGTGCACGACACCACAGCCAGCTAGTTTTTTTATTTTTTGTAGAGATGGGGTCTTGCCATCTTGCCCAAGTATTGACAATTGTTGCAAGATCTCAGTTCTTGCCTTCTTAGTTTAAAAGAATATAGACAAGAGACACACAGCAAAGGGGAGGTGCAGCATAGAGTAATTTATTGCAGAGGAAAAAGAACATTTTGAAAGTTAGGTACAGAAAGGACAGGACACCCTGAGAGAGACAGGATTTAGGGCAGGCTGCTCTTAAGGACAGCATTGATTATTGCTGGGAGACTCCCTTTGTGGGGGTTTTACATCATTATTCATAAGGGGTTGAGAGAGGTGTTACTAGTAAGCATGTTCTGGGTGGTCCTTTCGGTGCCCACGCACAGTAGCTGTACGTGCTTGTTCATACATTGCATGTCTCATTCGCATCTTAAATCTCCACCTAGGGGTGTGTTTTTTACTCTTTTAATGAGCAAAGGGTCAGTTTGAGGACAGCTAAATCAAAGTGCGCACACTCTCTAGAGGGGAAAGTCCCTACTGAAGATAGCTTTGCTTGAGCTTTGCTCAATTACAATGTGAATGCTGAGGCTTATTGTGTTGACTGTACAGTCATCACGGATGCTGCATCTCGAGGACATGGTCACTTCCTTGACTACCTCTCCTGCCTCACAGGCTGGTCTCTAACTGCTGGGCTCAAGCAATCCTCCTGCCTTGGCCTCCTAAAGTGCTGGGGTTATAGGCATGGGCCACTGTACCTGGCCAACAGTGAACTCTGTGTGCCATGTGCTTTCCATGTATTATCTCATTTAATCGTCAGGTCTACCTGATCAGGTAGGTACTATTATCTTTCCCATTTTGCAGATGAATAAACTGAGGCTTGGGGAGGTTGAGCCTTTCGCTCAGGGTCACACAGCGGTAGCCAGCATTTGATTCAACACTCCAAGCTCACTCCACTCTGCCCTGCTGCTTGCTCCCTGGGTGGAGATGATCTTCTCTGGGGAGGTGGCCTTTTGAGGGGCTGGCTGATGTCATCTCGGGGGGTGGGGAAAGCAAGCAGACAGGCCTCCAAGAGCCATTGGCAGGGGATGTGCTCCACGTCCATCTTTGGTTGGGGCTGGAACTCATCTGTAGGGGCCCTCTAACACCACCAAAACTTGGTGGGACCTAGAAGTCTTCTCTTCTGTCGTGAAGATAGACACAAGGTCTGCACTCTTGCCTCAAGTTCAAAGGGCCTGAAGTATCGAGAAGTGTGCCTCATTTGTTTGTCTTTTTAAGAAAATTCATCCTAGGGCCAAGTAGTTTTTACAAGACAATGCTTAATGTGAGGTTCTAGAACTGTGCATTTGGATGTGGTCCCGGGTGGCCCTGGTCCAGGAATCACACTTAGGAAAGGTTACATCCGAGATGTGGTCATAGCTGTAGTGTGGCACTCAGGAGAGGGTGGGAGGTGGGCAGAAGACCTCAGCCAGAGCTCAATTCTACCACTTCCTAGCTGTGTGCCTTGAGGCAAGTCATTTCACCTCTCGGAGCCTCTGCTTCCCCATCCATCCATCTGCCCATAAACCCACCCAGCCCATCAGGTGATGCCAGTGCCCAGGCCCCACCTCCAGAGCATTGGATTTAACTTGGCATCAGGATTTAATTAGGCTCCTGGTGGGAGCCAGGGTTGGCGTGAGGGCCATGGTGCTTGGCAGCCAGTTGGCCAAGAGAATGCATCAGGCTCAACCTGTGTTGGTTCAGCTTCTTCATTGAATGTTCAAGGCACAGGTGAGCCTCTGATGTGCAGTTTGAATCCCTGGTGTGTTCTGCCAGGAGGGGTGAGGCAGAAGAATGGGCTTTGGGTCACTCAGATCAAGCCAGTTGGCCTGAGGGTCAGTTGGCTTCTTGAGCCAGTGTCCTTGTTTGAATCAATGCCCACTGCAGGCAGCTGTCATGAGAATTAACAGGATTACAGATGTAAGGGCCTGGAACAGAGCACAGGTGCTTGACAGACCATTTTAACTTATCTGTGGAGGTTTTCCATGGACAGGTTTATTTAGAGATGCTAAGACCTATTTGGAGGCTGCAAAAACCCCTAGACTTGAGTTCACTGAAGGGCACATGATGCCCTCATGTGGCTCAAACTAGATTTGTTTGGGGAAAGAGTGTCTTTAATGTGAATTTAAAAAATATCCATTTGTTTTAGCAGTACAACCACGTTTAGAGACTTGGGCTCTTCTGGGAATATTGCTTTGTTTATAAGCTCCTCCTGATGTTCAACTCTGAGGATGTTCACTGGGACAGAAATGTCTCATTTAAATTAAAAAAATCACAAAGAAAAGTGGTGGGGAATTGTGGTGGTGCCACATGTAATAAAGAAGGGAGAGACAAGCTCAGTCTAGAGGGACTGTGAATTAAATTGCAGAACATGCCACACAGGACAATTTTACATGGTTCTACCCAGGGTTCTAATTTGAGATTCCTATAAAGGCCCTGGTCTGTGGCTGCCTTCACAGACTACAGAAGGAACAGTCTTTGAAGTTCTGTGCCCTCCACCAGAACCCAGAGCATTAAAACAAAAAAACAAAAAACAACAAAAAAAACAAGGGAGGTATATTTAAGAGGCAGCCAGCCTATACCTGAACAAAAAAACCACCACCAGAAAAAACAAACACATCTTACTTTTGAAGCTGAACATTTGAGACTATGGCAGTCAATATTTCAATAACCCATTTTCACTAGAAGATAGGGCATCCTTTATTGAGATTTGCATGACTATGGGTAGCTAAAAATAGGGAGACATCAGGGTAGGAGGGCCCGTGCTTAGACTTATGCCCAAGCCAGGGATGAATGTTTGTTTGTTTGGCTTTGAGACGGAGTCTTGCTCTGTCTCCCAGGCTGGAGTGCACTGGTGTGATCTTGGCTCACTGCTACCTCCACTTCCCAGGTCAAGTGATTCTCCTGCCTCAGCCTCCCGAGCAGCTGGGATTACAGGTGCGTGCCGCCATGCCTGGCTAATTTTTGTAATTTTAGTAGAGATGGGGTTTCACTACCTTGGCCAGGCTGGTCTTGAACTCTTGACCTCGTGATCCACCCGCCTTGGCCTCCCAAAGTGCTGGGATTACAGGTGTGAGCCACTGCGCCCGGCTGGATGAATGTTTTTTAAACAACCTTAGGTGTACTATGCAGGTACAGATAGTTCAGAATGAACCACTTAAGATACTACATCTATGCAGAACACAGCATTCAGAAGTTTCTTCCCTAAAGTTTGGCTCATCTACGACCACAAAAAACCCAAGAGGTTCTTAAAAGTCAGGGGCTCTGGAATTACCTGCCCAGACAGAAGTCAGAAACTTGGGCCTAGAAATCCGCATTTTAAACTCATTCCCGAGGTGCTCTTCATGTATCTGGTCTACCGCTTTAGGGTGCCAAGCTAATGCTTTTTAGATTTGAGCAACCAGTGAAATTACAGAAAGAATCTTCAAGACTTACTTTGAGCTTTCAACTACTATCACACAAAGAACAATGACAAGCGATAATCATCTCCTTTCATCCTTGTTCCAAAAAATATTACGTATATTTGTCTTTGTTTGCTTGGAGAGCTGTGTATGTCACTGCGGTCCAACCTCTGGGAACCCCAAGGGGCTTTGGGCACCACTTCAGGGTGAATGATGGGCCCAAGAGACAAGGCTTACTAGAGAACACCATCATCTTCCATTATTTTATTATTTTTTATACATATATATATATGCGCAATCTGTTTTATGTACAACAATTGGTTCTATCAAATATTCAGACCAAGGCATTCTACTGGTAATTTCCCCCCAAATCAATTCAGGTAAAATTAGATACTTATGCACTTCACGGGCTATCAAAACTTGCAACTTCATTATCAATTTCAGTTCTGAGGTCATACACACAATTCAAAATATACATTAACTAGGTTAAGGCGATAAAAGTGGGCTGAAAGAAACCACAGGATTCAGAACAATGAAACTGTGTATTTTGCTTGCATGAGAGTCATAACGTGAACAGCAAGTATTGTGCGTATCTCATAGCTCTTCAGTGGAGAGGAAGCGGCTTCTGAACATCTAAGGTGACTGCACAGCAGGTGGGAAACAGCTGGTGTGGCCTGCTGGAGGCTTCGCCGAGGGAGGGCTCATTTCTTCTCTGCCTCTCCTTTTTTGGGTTCTTGTTTCAATTTGTAATCAGCCAGGGCGGCCTTGATTGCATCTTCAGCCAGCACTGGAAGTAACGGAAGGAAAGAAGCCTAAGTTTCTAGATGTGAAAGAAATGGACTTGGGAATAGAATCTTTAAGAGCTGGGAGGAAGTGGTGCTGGTGGGGACTAATGGAGTAACCAAGCCAGAAAGCTGGGGTGAGGAGTTGCTGGGCACGTCAGCAGCTGCTTCCTGAGCTGAGTTACTCCTGCGGGTGATCCTGGAGACAGACTAGGGTTAAAAATCTGTGATCCCAGGCTAGTTCCTTAGCCTCTTTGACCCTACTTTCTCTTCTATAGAACTGGGATAATCATGCTTTTCTTGCCAGGATAGTGTGGGGACTTACAGAAGATGTCTGACACATAGTAGGGACACAGGAAATGTTACTTCTTGCCTGCTCCCATCAAAGTCTAGCTTTGGACAAAATCTTGTCATGATAAAAAAGTTGACATGCCCTTTGGAAAAAAGATCATGTCAATCTGTTGATGGGATGGCATTTGCCACATCACCCTCTAGTGATCGAGAGTTTGACCACTTTTATTTAGGAGTCAATATTCAAAGTGAGGCTATGGGGAAAATAAAAACTGAGAGAGCTGGAATGACAGCAGAAAGCAAGCAAATAACAGAGAACATCAGCTAAAGGTTTCAGTACCTAAAAAGGCCTAATAAAAGGGCTGGGGATTTCCTGAAACCATGTGAAAATGTTTACAAGTGATGACCTTTCTTTATGGGTACTTAAAATTCCAGATCAAGTGGAAAGAACTTAGGTCTGACCAGGCTTCCTGAAGAATGAGTTAGTGTGTCTGCCCCGGCACCTGGCTCTTCTGCTGTGAGTATTACCTTGGCAAGAGGCCTGACTCTCTGCTGATTTTTAACTAATTTGGTTAGTAAACCTCCATCGATGCATTAAGGCTAATGTTTCTCATTCCTTCTTTCCCTGAGAAGGTTAAGAAATGATGGAAAAAGCATTAGATTTAATACAGAGACCAAACTGGAAAGCCAAGTACAAGTCTTAAGGCATCTGGGCTTTTTTTTAGGATAGCAGGGAGGGGGACATTGTACAACTGGGCTTAGTTGTTCCATATATACAGATGCAGACCCCGACAGGAATACCATCCAGACAGGAAGTGAAGAAATACACAGGAAACAGGATTATGGCGAAAGCTGAGTTTTCTCCTCTGCTGGAAACAGCACAGATTCTGAAATCAAAGATTGGAGCTTAAATTCTGGCTCTTCCACTTATTAGCCATGTGATGTGGGCGTCTCAACCCAAGCCTTAGCTTCCTCATCCATAAGAGGGAAGTAATGACATCTACTGTGCACTCAAGGATATTTGTGAGGTTTAGAAATTACGCCCATGAAGTGCTCAGTATGATGGCTGGTGCATACCTCCTTCTGGCATGATTCTCTTAGGGATGAATGTGAGACCATGGGGGCTCTAACCCTCTGCAGGTTATAAGGACAGACTCATGAGCTCTAATTCTGAGGGTTACAAACGTGGGCTCCATGATCTAAAAGGACTGTTGCAAACCAAGTTGAAATTACTGCCAAATGTCCCAGCTGACTGGTATGGAGAGCAGAGACTTACTGGAGCAGTGCAGTTTCACGGGAGGAAGGCAGAGCTCCTTGGCGATATCTGTGTTTTTGATAGTCAAGGCTTCCTCCACCTGAGAGGCATAATGGAAAGATGGGCAGTTTTAGCAACACTTTATCTTGTGAGGGCCAGCCAATAAAAAAGGGAGGCCAAAGAGGCTCTCAGGGTTGGTGGGGATGATTTCTGTTTAATAACTCAAACGGCTAAGGGTCTTCTCAGGACTCCCACTTTATCAAAGCTGCAGCTGGGATTCTCAAGCATGAAGTATACACAGCTGCACTGCCTGGCTTGGGTAAGCAAAGACAGCCCAGACACTTCTCTAAGTCAGGAGTGGAACCTGTGAGAAGTCTCTTAGGGATCTGCTTGTGGCCTGTAACAGGAATCTCTTCCTTAAAAGGTAGTGATTTCCTATGCTGGTTTTGTGAATATCAGCTTCTCCGATGTCCTCATACCAAATGTTAGCCTAAATCCTTTTGACTAGAAGTGCCGAATGGCATCAGAGAGGTTGGGAAGATTTCAGGTAAGTAGCACAGTGGCAGTGGCACAGCCGAGTCAGGCCGAATGCTCTCTTTGGTGTCCCCTTTGCCTATAGGAGCATCTCCTCCAGATCAACTAAAGAGGATGCCTGGGGTCTGGTTGACAGCCCTGGGGGATAATGTGAGGCAGGCAGATCCTTGCCCATGTAGAACAGTGCCCCACTGCCTTACAGAAAACCAGATTTCCCAACAGCCAGACTCTTTGACTATGTCTATCATTCAGTTTCCCAATTCTGCTAACCCTTCTTGGTTGATTCAGGTTCTGCTCCTGAAACTCAGATGGGAGATCTCAAGGTTAAAGAAATGTCCTCTCTCCCATTTTCTGATCACAATTCACAGTCCCCTAAGGGCCAGGTTCTGGGAGCAAAAGTGCCTTGTCTCATTTCTCCCTTCACCTGAGGACAGTTCCTGACAAATCACTTCAGAGCTACCTCCTGCCACAGCAGGTTAGGTCTGAGCTTCCTGGCCCACAGGGGCTTGCCAGCCAGAAGGCCGTGAGCCACAGGAAGCAGGTGGCACGTGGCCTGGCAAACTGCTCTGCTGTGGAGCTGGCCAGCTTCCAAGCATGCTCCTCTGTGACTCAGCTCCCTGAACCTGGTCCCTTGGGGCAGCAAAGATGAGTGCCTTGCTGGTTGGCTTTTCTGAGAGGTTTTGACAGCAACTGGATTTTAGAAAGTCCAGCTCTTCACTGTGTTTGGGACCTTTGACCTCTGCAGCTACCAGGGAAAGACACTTGGGAGACAAAGGGATGAAAAAGAAGTTCTAGCTCTTTATTATCTCTGCCTTTAGAGGGCTTGCGATCAGCCACCTGGATCACTGTTCTGATTTCGTTGTTCACTTTGCCCCCACCCTTGCTGTCTTTTTGATTATTTAATCCCTCTTTTAACACAGGCTAGTTTATTTCACCAATTCTTGAAAGCCACCTAGAACCCTTCCTGAAACATGAGAGGAAATAAACAAGAAAATAACTACCTTATAACAACTCTCTGACTTGAGAAATTATAAGAGCACTGGTAACCTTAGAGAAAGCCAAAGATTTCTTTTAAATTCTATTTTGTTAGAGGGACAGGTGAGGATCTTTTTTATATGTAATTAACACCCAAACAAACAAAAAAATAAAAATGATCAACAAGAAAAAAACCCAAACAACACCTAGTAGAATGATCCATAATTCCCAATTTGAAGAAATGATAATATAATCAACATCTGCATAGGAGAAATTTTAAAAATTTAGAATATTAAAAAAAAGTCATGGTTACTTGTTTTTGACCCATTAGATTTGTGAGCCACCTTACCGTCTTTCCTTTCACCCATTCAGTGGCTAATGAGCTGGAGGCAATTGCGGAACCACAGCCAAATGTTTTAAACCTAGCATCCACAATCTTCCCCTTTTCATCCACTTGAATCTAGAAAAGAGACAAGAGTTAAGTGGTGAGTCCTGGGACCACCCTCTGGAACCTGGCACTCACGAAGGTTCACCAGGGCCTTCCCCAAGGGCTTTGGGCTTGCTTTCCACACTAAGTGATGGCATTAATTACTGACTTTGCCTTGTTTCAAAGAGCTCAGTGATGAAAAGTGAAATGCAGGGACAACTATCCAGGCCCAACTGACAAAGATCAGCTGAAAAATATGTCCCTCCACTCCAATATTCTTTTGTTTTGTGACTCTGGCCTGCATTTTGGCTATGAACTTCTATTTGTGGAAGTCTGCTCACAGCTGCTGGGGCAATCTGGCCTCTTTAAACACTGACAGAGTCCACAATAAAGGTCTCTGGTTAATACTTTTTTCTTGGGCAGCAGATTACACTTAGTGGTTTCCTCCTGTTTTGTTTCTGTATTCCAAGATAGGTATGAAGACCTCTGGCAAGCTGCCCACTCACCATGAAGCAGCAGATTGGTGCTACAACTACAGTTTACCCAAAGCACTAGACACTATTTTCATGTTTCCCCCAATCTGGGGACAGGTTTAATTTACTGTGTTTCTTGTTTCATTGGGGACTGCTAGCTCACTGGGATTTTCCTTTGATCAGTAAAATTCACAAAACTCTTTAGTTGGCTGAAGTCAGAATTTAAACTGATACAGTGAGTACAAAAATGAGATTACTTTTCTATTTTGGAAAAAGTTGGCATAGTACACTAGCCTAGCAGGAGAGCTACGATTGAGGCCCTGCTCCAGTCATATCTAACATGGACTCATCCCATCTCACAGGAATGGAGACCAAGTGAAATGCTTGGAGATCTCACAGGAATAAAGATGGAGACCAAGTGAAATGCGCAAGTGCTTTGTAAACTTAAAGGGATTATTGTTATCACTATTAAAAAAGACTAGCCATACCTGTAATTTCATTACGTCACCACATGCTGGAGCCCCCACCAGTCCAGTTCCAACATTTTTAGATGTCTTGTCAAGGGACCCCACGTTTCTAGGATTTTCATAATGATCAACAACCTAAAATGAGAGGGTTAAGATAAATCATGTTCACTCTCTATTGGTACTGGTCTCTGGTTTGATGGTAAGCTCCTCGGTCAGCATCTTGAACCTGGCAGGCAATCACTAAATACCAAATTTCACCTGAGTAGAAAGGTCTACACTCATGTCAATGAGAACCATTTGTGACCCCCAATTCCTTTTGTGTCTCCTCTACAATACTTCACAGATTTGAGATACCTAGAAGAAAAAAAAATCAGTGAAATCATGTCTTAGTTCCATAGGATTTTTACAAAAATACTTGACTTTCACCCACCTACATCACCAGACTTGGGCTCAAACAGCAGTTTTGTTATTTTCAAATAAAATCCATCCTCAAAGGATGATTACTATTTAAAAATTCTAAAAATAACCATGGCCCAGGGAGGGAAAGCTTTCTTAGAAGCCTTAAGGTGACTGTTACACAGGGAACAATGCTATGGAATGTGTACGTTTATGTGTCTTTTAAAATAAAAACAGTGCCATTACCGTATTTCACAGCCTGTCATCACCCTGGTGCAGCAGCGCACCCTGGCTGCTGAAAGGCTGCTAGTCCAAGTTTCTTCAGGGTGTACCCTCAACAAAACACACCCCCGGGAGGGGGAGGAGTGAAGAAGCCCTTGGAGAAAGGGCAGAAGCCAGATCACAATAAACATCCATTCGAACTGGCACACAGAAGGCCTTAATAACCTTGAGGTTTGGTTACTGGTTAGTAGTAAGCACGCCGATCTTCCAGTCCCCTTTTCCCCCCATCTGACTAAGGATTTTGACTCCAAGTAAAAGGGACCTCAGGATAGTATCTAATGTAGGGGCCTTTTGTGCCACGTTGATTTATGGCATTCTTTAGTTGTTTCTCGAGTGGGAGTCTCACGTCTGGGGGACTTTGTGCCACCAGACAGCAAGGGGCTGCAGACTATGAATCTATCCCTCCTTCCCCGCCAAAAAACCCCCCAAACAAAACAAAAACATTACGCATGTTGGTTACAAGCCTGACTCCCCTATGCACTCCTAAAGCAGTAACAGAAACGGTCTCCTCGTGCTGGGGCCTATGTGCCAGGAACCATGCCAGGACTCCACGCACAGTATCCTTTGTAAGGGACAGCTGAGAGCCCCCCATTTACACCTGGGGAAACAGGTTCAGAGAGGCGCAGTGACTAGCCCAAGGTCATCTGGCCAGGGCAGCGGAGTGGCTGAAGCCGGAGCCCGCTCCGGGGGTGTGTCTGTCCCTGGACTCAGAAAGACAAGTCCCAACAGGACCCTGCCTCCTGGGCTGTTGGCGAATTTAAAATTGGGACGCACGAAGTCGCGGCCAGCGGCGGGGCCCCCTGGAAGTCGCCGCCCGATGAGCGGTAACTGTTGTTTATCAGTTGCAGTGAGCCTCACTGCGCAGCAAGGGAAAGCGAGTCAGGGCAAAGACGTGGGAGGGGACAGCTCCCAGTCCTAGCTGCGCAGAACCCCGCGGCCGCCCCTCCAGCCCAGGCCTCCGCTGAGTCGGCATTCCGCGCGTCCCTCTTTTGTCCCTACCTTCTTGTGATAGAGTCGGGCCGGGGCCGACAGCTCCCGGGCGGGCAGGCGGGGGCTCCGCAGCAGCAGAGCCGATGCCGCCCGCCTCAGACGGAAAGCCCCAGCCGCCGCCATCTTGCCGGCTTGCGCCTGCGCCAGTCCAGAGCGACGCCGAGGGGCGGGGCGCGTCTGCGAGTCGGCTCCGAGCTGGGAGCGCGCCTCTCTGACGTCACCGAAGCTTTGCGCCTGCGCTTTACCGCTCCGTGCACGCGTCCGCCTTCTGGCCCCGCCTTGACCACGCCTCTCGGGGGCGGGCGGGGTCGGGAGCGGGAAGGTCTGAAGTCGCTGGAGGGCTTGTCCTGGGTGCTGGATTCTGGTTGAGACAGGACCTCAGGGCTTCTGCAGTGTGGGGCTCAAGTTCGCTTTCACAAATCCCGCTGCGGGAATGCGGCGCAGAGGAGCACCGAGTCCACTTTTCCTAACCCTATTTTGCAGCTAAGGAAGCCGAGATTCAGGGCAGTTTAGTAAGTCCGTCCAAGGTCGCTAAGGACTTATGTTCAATTAGAATTCGAACTTGGGTAATCCTGGGTTAGAATCCTGGTTCGGTTCCTTCCTGGCTGTGTGTCCCTAGACGAATGGTACCGGCTCGCTGAGTCTGAATCTTCCCTTTTGTATTAATTCGAGGACAATTGCTTCATCATGAAGCCAGCATCTGTGTCGAGTACCTACTATGTGTCAAGGCGCTCTACTAGACCCGGGGATCCAACGGAAAGCAAAACAGACATAATTCCTGCCCATTAAGCCTGCTAATGAGGGAGCAAGGTAGAGATAGAGACACACACCAATACTTTCCTACCTCAAAAATGGGAAGCTTAAGAAGGAAACGAATACCATGTCCTGATTGAAAAAAAATGAATATGTCTATTTTTCTCTCTAAAACAACAGCAAACTCAATTTATATGTCAGTGCCTAGCAATTAAGAATTTCTAAAGAAATGCGTATTAATGTAATTTACTGTTGGTTTGCAGTATGTGATCTTATAAAACCGGAAAACTCACGTGTATTTAACGTCTACTAGGTACCAGACGTTTACATAAAGGGGAGGAATCTGGGAAATGGATTTTTCTCTTGAATGGTGAAATCGATCCTTCCCCGAGGACCTGCAGTTTTCTTTGCGTTTGAGGCGCAGTTGCTGGGGAGAGTAAACCCAAGCGCCAGGTCACACTAGGCGATAAGTAAGGCATTTAATCGAAGAATCACTTTGACCTTCTCAAGATGGCGCCAAATTCTTCACTACAGACATCACTCTCGCTCCATGACTTCCTCTATGGCTTCCACTTCCTGCCCAAAGACCCAACTTCTGTCCGAAGTTGTGACGGAACGCATGCCATTATAATGAGTTTTTATATCTGGTGGGAGCTTTTACAGGGTATAAAATAATGTGAATTTAGTGTATGTGGAGATTTTCCTGTTATCTAAGTTCCCAGTTTCTCTTTCAATGGCAAGAAAACGGGTTTTTGATAAGGCGCGCGCCGCGGGCAGCTTCTGCCTCAGCGGGTCTTCGGCGGCCGCGGGAAGACCCGAGAGTCATTAGAAGCGCAAGATGGCGACTGCGGCCGAAACCTCGGCTTCAGAACCCGAGGCTGAGTCCAAGGCTGGGCCCAAGGCTGACGGAGAGGAGGATGAGGTTAAGGCGGCTAGGACAAGGAGGAAGGTGTTATCGCGGGCTGTGGCCGCTGCGACATACAAGACCATGGGGCCAGCGTGGGATCAGCAGGAGGAAGGCGTGAGCGAGAGCGATGGGGATGAGTACGCCATGGCTTCCTCCGCGGAGAGCTCCCCCGGGGAGTACGAGTGGGAATATGACGAAGAGGAGGAGAAAAACCAGCTGGAGATTGAGAGACTGGAGGAGCAGGTGGGCCCGGGGGTGGGCAGCGGGCATCTTCCAGTCTTTCAGGTCCTCGGGTCCCCATGTCCTGGCCCGCCTCCCTAGTCCTCGGCGGCGATAAAGCCGCCAAGGCTGCAAACCCGCTTTTCGTGACAGTAGCTCCTGTCGGATTTGAGTGCTTACTGCCTGCCCATTGCCTTGCAAACGTTATCTCATTGAATCCTCGCCACGACCCTGTGAAGGAAGCCCTGTTATCTATCCCCATTTTACTGGAGGAAACTGAGGCTCGTGGAGGAAAGTTTCTTGCTCAAGATAACACTTCCTGCAAGTCAGGCCTTGTACTTTGATCCCATTCCAGAACTCCCACTCTTAACCACACGTCCAACAGTAGAAATAAACTCATTCGCAAGAGAGTGTTATTTTGTTATGTAGGAATGACGGCGATGATGAAACTTGTGGTAAGAAAAATATTGACCGCGATGGTGATAATAGAAATGGAAAGGTTTCTGGTTCTGGAGGTTAAGGCCTCAGTTCTAGCTGTTCAACTCTTGTATGTGCTTGTAAGAATTTCTTAATTTCTCTCACCCTCTCGACTTCCTTATCTGCAGATTGGGAGCAACAATTTCTGCATAATATAATTGTTGTAACAGTAACTATAGCTCAGTGCCTAGCATCTAGTCATAACATGGTCTCTCACTTGTAACCTTATGAGGTGGTGATATCTACTGTATAATCCAGGATCTCAGCAGGAAATAGGTGGCACATTTAAATTAGGATGATCTGAGAGAAACTCAATAAAGGTGTGGGTAGGGAAATCGGGAGTGAAGGTTTAGTATCCCATAGCTGGTAACTCCAGAACCTGGTGTCCATCTTTGGGCCGGAAGGGGTGAAGGGTGTGATCTGAATTGTGTGGAGAGGGCACCTGAGACCTGCTGATAACTTTGTTCAAGGGAAGCAGCCCCAGTTTCCTGTCAAGGATTGAGGTGGGGGAAGAAATACCCTGACCTCTCTTTCTTCCTCCCACCAAACTTCTGCTGGTGCCTCCTGCTGGGCAGACCCATCTGGAAGCTGGAGAGCCAGGAAACCTGTGCATGAGGTCTATACTCGGGGACACAGGGCAGGGAGGAGAGGGTAGGGTGTTTTTTGGAGGGGGCAAACAGAAGAGATGGAGCACATTCTCTCTTTTTTTTTTTTTTTTTTTTTTTGAGACAGAGTCTCGCCCTGTCACCCAGACTGGAGTGCAATGGCACCATCTCGTGTCACTGCAACCTCTGCCGCCCTGGTTCAAGCGATTCTCCTGCCTCAGCCTCCCCAGTAGCTGGGATCCAGGCACGCACCATTGCGCCCGGCTGATTTCTGTATTTTTAGTAGAGACGGGGTTTCACCATGTTGGTCAGGCTGCTCTTGAATTCCTGACCTCAGGTGATCCACCCACCTTGGCCTCCCGTAGTGCTGAGATTACAGGTGTGAGCCGCTACGCCCGGCCCGCATTCTCTTTTTACAGATGAAGAAACAGAGGTTCAGAACAAATGATGAAATGATTTCCTTTAAGTTATTCATAGTGGGATTTACACTTAAAATGTGGACTAGATGCCACACTGGATGTGAAATCACTCAGTGAATGTGAAGTTGCTAATCTAGTTTACTCATTAAACCTTACTGAGTGTCAGTTTCCTTATAATACTCTCTCTGGCACTGATATTTTTGTTATGAGATAGTGATGTCATCCATTGGTATAGCTTGTCCCACCCATTACATCTGATTGTCAGAGGAACCTGTTGGGGTTGGCAGGTGGTTAGCATTTCTACTTTTTTTTTTTTTTTTTTTTTTCTTTTTTGAGACGGAGTCTTGCTCTGTGGCCCAGGCTGGAGTGCAGTGGCACGATCTCGGCTCACTGCAAGCTCCGCCTCCCGGGTTCATGCCATTCTCCTGCCTCAGCCCCCCGAGTAGCTGGGACTACAGGCGCCCGCCACCAAGTCCGGCTAATTTTTACTATTTTTAGTAGAGATGGGGTTTCACCGTTTTAGCCAGGATGGTCTCGATCTCCTGACCTCGTGATCCGCCCGCCTCGGCCTCCCAAAGTGCTGGGATTACAGGCGTGAGCCACCGCGCCTGCCCTCTACTTTTTATAAATAAGTGTGCTGAAGCTAATTTAGTCTTACTCATTCAGCAAACACAGCGTGACACTGGGTACCAGATTGACTGTGTCCCTGCCCTTGTTGATGTCATTTCTTCAGACTGCTAGTCCTGGGCCTTTCGATGAGCCTATTCTGTGAGGTGGGGAAAGAGAGGTTTGGGACCAGAGAGGTTAAGTCCTTGGTGAGGGTACACAGCTTGCTAAAGAGCAAGAAAGGGGAGAGCAGAGGTCTCTGGCCACTAGTACTCTGCAGTTGCCTGTCCTGCCACAGATCACCAAGGATGGGGTGGAGTTTAGAATGGACCACACAGGATAGGACCTGGCAAGTGATGAACTGAAGACCCTCTGGCCTTATCCTCTTTGTCCTGTGGTCTAGAAATGGACTTGTCCAGTTTCTCCAAGCCTCCCACCCACCTCATCCTGATCCCACAGCTGCTTCTTCCTGCTGTAACTGCTTTTATGGCGGAGCATAATGATGAATTGCTTCCAAATAGGTCTGTGAGAAACTTGGCCTTGCCATATTTGAGAGTTCTGGTTCTCATCCCTCAGTGTTTATTAATTTTTTTTTTTGAGAGCATCTCACTCTTGCCCATGCTGGAGTAGTGGTGTGATCATGGCTCACTGCAGCTAGGACCTCCCAGGCTCAAGTGATCCTCCCAGCTCATCCTCCAAAGTATCTCGGACTACAGGCATGCACCCCCATGCCTGGCTAATTAAAAATATTTTTTTTTTGTAGAGATGGGTTCTTACTATGTTGCCCAGGCAGGTGCTGAATTCCTGAGCTGAAGTGATGCTCCTGCCTCAGCCTCCCAAAGTGCTCGGATCACAGGCGCAAGCTACTGCACGTGGCCTTGATTATATTTTATGGTAGCTGGCAGTTTGCTGTGGTATCTGTCTAACAAAAGCAAATATTTTCCATTATATGTGTTTGTGCGCTGAAATTAAAAGTGGCACTTCATGGTGGCTTCGGCAGATTTGTCAGTGCAGCAGTACGGAGACTATGGCTTTGCAACCCTGAACCCAAGCCTTCCATTGAGTAGTGGAAAGGCCTTGTACAAGTTATTTCAGCTCGCAGAGTCTTGGGTGTCCCAGTTAGTAAAATGAAGGTTGTAATAGTGCTTTCCTCATGGGACTGTTGTGGGGCATGGCACAATGTGCGTAAAGCGCCTGGCACAGTTTGGCGCATAATAGGTGCTGCTCCATTCTCCCTTCCCTGCCTTTGATTGCACCAGTTGTTTTCTTTCCATCAGTCCTCTCTATTATTTCTCCCCCATTCTAGTACAGCTAGGTATAACACATTTTTCACATTGCTAGGGAGTTAAATCAGTTAGCAGATCATTTTGTGATTGGTTAAGTTTCCTTTAAAGCATCTATGTTGTTAATCCCAGCTACTCGGGAGGCTGAGGCAGGAGAATCGCCTGAACCCGGGAGGCAGAGGTTGCAGTGAACTGAGATCACACCACTGCACTCCAGCCTGGGTGACAGAGCAAGATTCCACCTCAAAAAAAAAAAAAAAAAAAAAAAAACTATGTCATTAATGATGTTCTAAGACCAGAATAGACCAGCATATGTACTCATTTATCAGTATAGATTGAACTATGTGGAAATAGCTCTTTTAAGTGCATTTCAGTATGTATTTAATATATGTACTTTCAGAGTACTTGTCCACATATAGTATCTTCATCATTTTACCCTAAAAATCAGAAGTTTACACCAAAAGCCACACCTTAAAAGTCAGCTTCTTGACTTTAGCGACTTTTATACCTTTTTCTTCTGCTGATCCACACATGGTGTTCATGTGAGGGGCACTTGCATGCATAGATATTCGTGACACTGACTAGCAAGTGCTCTCCCACTCCTGTTTGTGCTCCGCAAGCACACTCTATTGAGTTCAGACTGGTGATGTGGTGGGGAGAGCCTTGAATGTTCTTTAATGAAGAAAGTGTATCCTTCTCAAACTTCACTTCTCAAACATCCCAAACTGCGGTTACTTTGTGTGACACACTTGATAGGTGATTTTGAAACATCAGTGTGTCATGATAGCCCATTTAAGAACCAGAGCTTTAGCCCAGCTCTTTCATGGTACAGATGAGGAAACAGAACAAGTGGGGATTAGAACACTTGTGTCCTGATCTGGTCCAGTGCTTTTCAGCCTATCGTGTGATCATCGGATGAGTTCAGCTTCTCAGGTTTTATGAATCATAAGCAGGAGAACATTGCTAAAAGTCTTAAGATTTAAAACTTAGAGATCATGTTCTTATCTGTAATTGATTATTATCTTTTGGCATGTAATTTGATAAATACAAAGCAGTTCACATCATGTACAAGAGTTTCTCACCAGATGCAGTGGCTCACACCTGTAGTCCTAGCATTTTGGGAGGCTGAGGCAGGATGATCCCTTGAGCCCAGGAGTTTGAGACCAGACTGGGCAAGATGGTGAGACCCTGTGTTTACAAAAAATAAATTTAAAACATTTAGCTATGTGTGGTGGCATGAGCTTGTAGTAGCAGCTACTCAAGAGGCTGAGGCGGGAGGATCACTTGAGCCTGGGAATTTGAGGCTGCAGTGATTTGTGACTGCCACGGCACTCCAGCCTGGGTAAGAGTGAGACCCTGACTCAAAAAAAAAAAAAGAGAGTTTCTCAAAGTCACTGTTTTTCAACCTGGGGGTCATAGTCATAGGTTGTGAATTTATTTTAGCTGAAACAGCAAGTGCCACCTGAGCCATAGTGTTTTTCAACTGCATGGGTCTGTTTTGGGCTCTCTCTTCAGTTTGTCTATCCTGTGCCAATTCCACTGATTAACTTATTGCTAAGGCTTGCTATCTGGTAAGACAAATCCTCCTACCTGCTTTTTTTCTTTCCTTGCAGGGTGTTTTGGCTCTTTCATATAAATTTTAGAATTATTTTGTCAAGGTCTGTGAAAAACCCTGTTGGTTTTTTTATTTGAATTGCATTGAATTTATGGATTATTTAGGGGAGAATTGACGTCTTTGCCATAATGATTATTCTAACCCAGAACATGCATATAACTCCATTCGTCTAGGTATTGAATATTCTTTCTATTTTTGAGACATGGTCCTGCTCTGTTTCCCAGGCTGGAGTACAGTGGCATGATCTCAGCACACTGCAACCTCCGCCTGCTGGGCTGAAGCGATCCTTTCACCTCAGCCTTTCGAGTAGCTGGGACCACAGGCATGTGCCACCAGACTCAGCTAATTTTTACAGTTTTTGTAGAGACGGGGTTTTGCCCTGTTGCCCAGGCTGGTCTTGAATTCCTGGACTCAAGTGATCTGCCTGCCTCGGCCTCCCACAGTGCTGGGATTACAGGTGTGAGCCACCGCCCCCGGCCAAGTCTTTAATATCTTTCAATCAAGTTTAAAAACATTTTGCCATAGAGGTCTCACACATCTTTTGTTAGATGTATTTCTAGGTACTTTATAGTGCTTGATGTTTATGCTATCCTATTTAAAATTACATTTTAAAGCTTGCTGGTTTATAGAAATGTAATTTTTTTATTGTAAAAAACATATAACGTAAACTTTGCTATCTTATTCTTAAGTGTATGGTTCAGTAGTGTTAAGTATAGTCACATTGTTGTGAAGCAGATCTCCAAAGTTTTCATTTGCATATATACAACTCTACCAATTAAACAGCTCTCCTTCTCCTTCCTTCCCAATCCCCTGATAACTACCATTGTAGTTTTCTGTCTCTATGAATTTGACTAGATACTTCATATAAGTGGAATCATACAGTATTTGTCTCTTTGTATATAATTGATTTTTATACATTGCTCTTATTGCTTGTCACTTTGCTAATCTTGTTTATTATTTCCAAATGATTTGTTTGTAGATGAGTTTTGGTTTACTATACATTGATATCATCTGACCATAATTAACAGTTCTCATTCTTTTCTCTATATCTGTTTCTTTTCCTTGTCTCATTGTTAAAACCCCAGACCTCCAGTACAGGGTTAAATAGAAGGCAATACTGGGAAGTTTTTTGTGTTTTTTAAAAGGAATTTTAATGTATTATTAAATTTACTAAATATAAATATATAAATATATAATAAACAATATAATAAATATATAAATATGTTATTAAAATATATTTATTGCAGATTTTAAAAATCAGGTTAAGGAAGTGCCTTTCTATTCCTAGTTTGCTAATTCTTAATTTTGACTCATGAATGGATGTTTTAATCAAATGCTATTTCTTCATTGAGGTAATCATGTTTTTTTCCCTCAAATCTGATGGTGGAAAAATTATACTGGATGATTTTGTAGTGTAAAAACACCCTTGCATTCCTGGGATAGACCCAAATTGATCATTATGTATTGTTCTCTTTATACATTTCTGATTTTTTAATATTTTATTTAGGATTTTTGTATTAATGCTCTTGAGTGAGATTGACATGTAATTTATTGAATTCTGTGTGCCAGGTAGGTAAAGAATCTAACCAAGTCAAGGATAAGACATACAAGGTACTTATCCCATGAAGCCTTTAGGTCATGATGGAAATAAACACGATGATGAGATGGAAAACAGCTTGCAGCATATAGGGGGCTACTTAAGAAAGAGTGGCATAGGAGGGGGGCCGGGGGCGCCCTCTGAGGAAGTGAAGTTTATACCTGAAGTATGAAAAGGGGTGGCTAGGCAGAGAGAAGGTGAGAGATCCTTCTGGGCTGAAGGAGCAGCAGGTGCCTAGCCCTGAGGTTGGAGAGACGTTGGAATGTTTGAGTTACACGAAGCTGGCTGCCATGTTGAGAGGCCGGTGGTTTGAGATGTAGCTGGAGAGATGAGCCCAGCATGCTGGGATTGCACATGAGGCAGGGATTTGCAAATTGTTCCTAGGATACTGGGAAGCCATGGAAGGGTTTTACTATTATAATTAGTAGAGAAAGATAATGAGTTCTTGTTTAAAATCTAAACACTTGAACAAAACCCCGTAATCCTTCATATTTGTATTCTCTGAATGGTTGGTCCTTGTCCCCACTCCATTTAAAGGTTCACTGGCTACTTCATTGTTAAGATTTTTATCCTAAAGTTCAAGTAATCATATTCATTGGCTGTCTTTCTGTATTTTAATTAAATATCTAGTACCTGGATTATTAGGGTATGTTGTCAGATGGTAGAGTGTAATTTGAATGAAGTGTAGGTAATCTTTTATCTCTGGAGAGGGAAATATTCCTAAAATGTGGCAGATGTTGGAAGAGTAGATACTAATGAAGTCTTGGTGTACAGACTTAAATTATCCCTATATCCCAACAAAAGCTTTTTAAACAATTCGCCTTTTTATTTTGAGATAATTGTAGATTTCCATGCACTTGTAAGAAATAATAGAGATTTTTCGTGTACTTTTTACCCAGTTTCCCTCAATGATAACACTTTGAGGAACTATAATATGTAATAACCTGGGTATTGACATTGATATAGTCAAGATACAGATCAGTTCTGTCACCTTAAGGATCCTTGATGTTGCCTTGAAATTTTTCTCTTGTCCTAACATTTTGTGATGTTATATTTACATTTCACATTTAAGTGTGATCCATTTTGAGTTATTTCTGTAAGGCGTGAAGTTTAGGTCAAGGTGTATTTATTTGTTTTGCCTGTGGATATCCATTTGCTCCAGCATCATTTTTTGAAAATGCCTTTTTTTTTCCTCTGTTGCATTGCGTTTGTCAAAAATTATTTGGGCATATTTGTGTGGGTCTGTTACTGGGTTCTATTCTCTTCATCTATGTATCTTTCTGCCATTCTCACACTGCCTTGATGATTGTAGCTGTATTGTAGGTTTTAGTATCAATCAGGTAGAGTGATTACTCCCACTTTATTCTTTTTCAAGATCATTTTTAGCTATTCTAGGGCCTCTGCCATCCCATATACATTTTAGAATAAGCTTGTCTAGGTCTACAAAAAACCTTGTTGGGATTTTAATTGGAGTTTCAGTAAGCCTGTAAGTCAGTTTAGGGAGAATTTACTTCTTGACTATGTTGAGTTTTTCAATCCATGAACATGAAGTGTCTCTTTTTTTAGGTCTTTGATTTCTTTCCTCAGCATTTTGTAATTTTCAGCATACAGATTTTGTAAACTTTTTAAATATACACCTAATTATTTAGGTTTTTTGGAGTGATTGTAAATGGTGCTATGTCTTTAAATTTGGTTTCCACATGTTCTTTTGTTTTTTTTTTTGTTTTTGTATGTTTATCTTATATTCTGTGACCTTGCTCAGTTCACTATTTTTGGAGTTTTTTTTTTTTTTAATTGGTTCCTTAAGATTGTCTACTTAGCCATATCATCTACAAATCAGGACAGTTTTATTTTTCCGAGCTGTATAGCTTTTATTTCTTTTCCTTGTCTTATTGAACAGGCTAGAACTTATAGGACTTTGTTGGAAAAGAGTGGTGAGAGCAGACATCCTTGCCTTGTTCTTGATTTTAGGAGGAAAGTGTTCAATCTTTTACCATTAGGAATGATGTTAAGGTAACCCTATATCCCAACTTATGGGATAGATTTTTTATAGATGCTCTTTATCAGGTTGAGGTTGTTTCCCTCTATTCCTAACATGCTGAGTGTTTTAACCATGAATCGTTGTTGGATTTTGTCACATGCATTTTCTGCATCTATTGATACCATGAGTTTTCTTTAGCCTTTTGATACACTGGATTACAGTAATTGATTTTTAAATGTTGAATTAGCCTTGCAAACCTGGAATAAATACCACTTGGTCATGGTGTATAATTCTTCTTATACACTGAATTTAGTTCTTTAAATTTTCCTCCGTACTGTTTTAGTAGCATCCTACTTATTTTGATTTGTTGCAATTTCATTTTCATTCACTTTTTTTAATTTGTAAATTTTCTTGGAGACTTCCTCTTTGACCTGCAGATTATTTAGAAGTGTATTACTTAATTTTCACGTGTTCAGAGATTTTCTTACTGTTAGTGGTTTCTAATTTGATTCCATTGTGGTCACAAAACATACTCTGCATGGTTTTCATTTCTCTTAAATTGTTGAGGTTTGTTTTATGGCCAAGGATATGGCTTCAGTGAATGTTCCGTAAGTACTTGAGAAAAATACATATTCTGTATTGTTGGGTGGGCTGTTCTCTATATAAATTAGGTCATGTTCGTTGACGGCGTTATTGAGTTCTTCTATAACCCTGTTCTGCCTAGTTTAAAAAAAAATTAAACAATTTCCTTTCTTTTTAAAAACTTAAAAATTTTTTAATTTGCTTTTGTCTAATTTTCTTTTTCTTTTATTCATCTTCTTTTTGACCAGGTTCAACATATTCAAGTGTCTAGTAGTTTTATCAGTTGCTGAAAAGGGAGATGTTGAAGTTGCCAAATGTAATTGCTGCTGTGTCTCTTTGAGCTCTGTAATAGTTTTTGCTTCATGAATTTTCAAGCGCTCTTTGGTTCCTACACATTTAGGATTGTTATGTCTTCCTGGTAGATTGATCTATTTATTATTATGTGTCATTATATAATCCTTTTTATCTCTAGTAATTTTCTTTGCTCTGAAGTGTACGTTATGTGATATTAATATGTCCGCTTCAACTTTTTAATTAATGCTTGCATGTTATCTTTTTCTCTCCTTTTCCTTTCAACCAGTTTACCTGTGTCTTTGAATTTGAAATGAATTTCTTGTACTCACCATATAGTTGGGTTGTGTTTTTATCCACTCTACCATTATCTACCTTTTAATTAGCATATATGCACCATTCGCATTTAAGGCAATTGTT
Organism: Homo sapiens; assembly: GCF_000001405.40. NCBI lineage: Eukaryota > Metazoa > Chordata > Mammalia > Primates > Hominidae > Homo > Homo sapiens. The sequence continues at coordinate 108,550,990 of NC_000012.12, read as the reverse complement.
GGTTTATTCAGACCAAAGCCTGCCGTTTTACTATTTTCTGTTTATTTTCTGTTTCTCATTCTTCTGTTTCTCCTTTCTTGCCTTTCTGTGGATTATTTGAATATTTTTTAGATTTTCATCTTGATTTATTTATTTATTTTTTTGAGATGGAGCCTTGTTTTGTCACCCAGGCTGGATCTCTGCTCACTGCAACCTCCGCCTCCCGGGTTCAAGCAATTCTCCTGTCTCAGCCTCCTGAGTAGCTGGACTACAGGCATGTGCCACCACACCCAGCTAATTTTTTGTATTTTTTGGTAGAGACAGGGTTTCACCATGTTGGCCAGGCTGGTCTTGAACTCCTGACCTCATGATCTGCCCGCTTTGGCCTCCCAAAGTGCTGGGATTACAGGTGTGAGCCACCATGCCCAGCCATCTTGATTTATTTAAGGTGATTTTTAGTGTAATTGCTTTGAATAGTTTTCTCAGTGGTTGCTTTGGGTATTAAAATATACGGAGTTGACTTACATGGTATCCGTGTTTTACCACTTGAATGAAGTGAGGGAATCTTCCATTTCAGTTCTCTTTCCATCCCCACTTTTAAATAATACTGTGTTGGGTATCAGAAGTTCTTACAATGTTTGTTCCATTACATATGATTTAGAAAGCTCATGAGGAGAGGAGGATAATCTGTCGTAGTTCCCGTATTTCTGCTCTTCCTGTTCTTTCTTCCTTTTTGATGCTTTAGGATTCCTTCTTCTAACTTTTCTGTTCGAAGAACTTCCTTTAGCTATTCTTCAAGGGTAGGTCTGCTAGTGACATTTTTTTCATTTTTCTTTGTCTCAGATATATGGTAACTTAAAATAATTTTAGTTTGAAAAGTTTCAAATGTACAAATAAAACTTTATGTACCTGTCACTCAGCATCAACAGATACCAACCTGCTGCCACTCTTGTTTCTCTAATAGGGATTTCTATCTTTTTTTTTTTTTTTTTTTTTTTGAGATTGGGTCTTGCTCTGTCACCCAGGCCTAGAGTGCAGTGGTGTGGTCTCGGCTCGCTGCAACCTCTGTCTCCCAGGCTCAGGTGATCCACTTCAGCCTCCCAAGTAGCTGGGACCACAGGTGCATGCCACCATGTCTGGCTAATTTTTTGTATTTTTGGTAGAGATAGGGTTTGACTGTGTTGCTGAGGCTGGTCTCGAACTCCTGAGCTCAAGCAATCCACCTGCCTCGGCCTCCCAAAGTGCTGGGATCACAGATGTGAGCCACCACAACTGGCTTCCATCTTTTTTATTTAGTAAAATAAAAGAGGTCTTACAGTGTACCTCACATGTGCTAAAGGACGTTATGAAATTACCTTTTTATTTTTTAGTTTTTCTTAAAGACCAGTGTAACAGTAGAAATTTTTTAAATCCTTGGAAGACCTGGTATGAGCTAGAAACTAGTAGTGTCCTCATTTTATAGATGAGGAAATAGAGCTTAGGAAAGTAAATAACTTACCTAAGGTCACATACTTTTTATTTGTTTCATTAGAATGCCTCCTTTATTTCCAAGAGAACCCAAATGTCTTCTAACAGGAACTGTAACAGATTTGAGGGAGCTTTATGTTTGTTACAAAAGCCTCTTTTATTGTTTTGTCTTCTACCTGTGGGTACGTGCTGGGTTGCTGTTTCAGTGGTTTTCTCAGATAGCACGTTTATTTTGTTTGTGGCAGGTATATGTGTAGTTACCAGTAGTGACAAAAGCTAAGTTACTTGATGACGGTGTTTTAAATTTCAACTTGTTTCTTTTCCTGTTAGTTGTCTATCAACGTCTATGACTACAACTGCCATGTGGACTTGATCAGACTGCTCAGGCTGGAAGGGGAGCTTACCAAGGTGAGGATGGCCCGCCAGAAGATGAGTGAAATCTTTCCCTTGACTGAAGGTAAGCTTCAGCAGTCAGGCTGCTTTTAGAAACAGAAACAAGGCTTGCACATTTTTTACAATGTTGAAAGTGGGACATGCTCCTTGTAGAAAACCTGGAACGTTCAGTGTAGTGGAAAGAAGAAAACGCATCAGAGTTAGCTATTTTTAGTTTATTGTAGTTTTTTGCAAAATGTAGTTATGATCATATAACACGGATTTTGAATTCTGATTTCTTTATTCTAACGTTGTGGTAAACATTTGTAATGTAATTAAACTTGGCTTTCATTTCTGTATTTCCCATTTCACTATTTATGTATTTAAACCATTCTCTTGAAACCAGAAAATTGTAAATATATTTAAACTTTTACAGACAGTTTTTTATGTAAATGTTTCATACATTAATTGTTCCAGAATAGTTGGGCATTTAGGTTATTTCTACTTATTTGCTTATTAGAAACATAATTGCACTGAACAACTCTGTAGTTCAATCTTCATGAATATTAATAAGTGATCTTTGGGCAGTACTTAGAACACTTTGGTCCTAGATCCCACTCTGCCCCTTTTCCCTTCTGCAAAGCATAACTGCCGAGTGTAGATGCTGGAGTCAGGTGACCTAGATTCATTCCTGGCTACATCTTTTACTAGCTGTGTGACCTTAAGCAAATTATGTAAACATTCTAAGACTCAGTTTTTCTAGCAGTTAAATGATGGCAACAGTAGTTTCTGCATTGTAATGTATGACGGTATAGGATGAGCTATTCTACGTATAACACTTAACACATGCCTGGCATGTTGTCATCCTTAGATAGATGTCATTATTATTAGTGTTACTATCACCAACCTTACAGGATTGTGATAAAGACTGAATGAGAAAAGTGCTTTGCAAAATATAAAATGCCTAACAGGTGGAGGATATTATGATTTTAGTGATTTGATCTTATTTGGAAGCATAAAACCTCCTATGTGCTTAGTTCAGGTTTTAAGAAGTGAATTTCTGGAAACAACGCCAGGTTGTGTAAGATGGATGAAACGTTTGCATGCTGATGTCTCTTGGTAAAGTCCCTGCGCTTAGCCTACCCTTTGGTATTAATGCGGGAAGTATTTTTGTCTCGTAGAGCTCTGGCTGGAGTGGCTGCATGACGAGATCAGCATGGCCCAGGATGGCCTGGACAGAGAGCACGTGTATGACCTCTTTGAGAAAGCCGTGAAGGATTACATTTGTAAGTTCCCGTGGACTTTTTTTGGATATCTGGCAATGTCATATATATCAGTCTGCTGTTGAGGACTGTATTATGAGATGTTGCTACCCAGAAAAGGGAACGTTAGTTTCACAATTAGCAAGATTTAAGTTGAGTTGTCTTATCATTGTCTTTGGTCTTTAATTGAGGAAGTTTAATTTTAAAATAAAAGTGGAAGAAGCACTTGTAGTAAGGGAATGAATACACTCACACTCAGGATTTATTGACAGTGAGAACTTACATGGTATTTCCACTGATCTTTTATACATTCAATAGGTTTTTAGAGGTTTTGGACAGGATGCTTTAAAAAAAAAGATTAAAACATTAAAAGAAAACCTTTTTATTTTGAAGTAATTATAGAGTCATAGGAAGTTGCAGAAATAGTACAGAGAAGTCTTGTGTACTCCCTTCACCCAGTTTCCTCCAATATCTTGTTTCTGTAATACAAAATCAAAACCAGGAAATTGACCTTGGAACAATGGGAAAAAAAAGACATTTTATTACATGTGTAGATTCATCTAACCACTGCTGCAGTCCAGATACAGAGCTGTTCTGTCCCCACAGAGACCTCCCTCGCCTGCTGGTATTGACATCTTACCAGTGCAAGTGAAGTATAGAAGACTCACCTCCCTTTAAGTCTCTTTACCGTCCCTTGTATATAGTATAATTGTCTTAAATATTTTCTCCATGTGAATTGGGGACCACATCAGACAATGCTGTGGACAAAATGCTTTTAAAAAGCGTTTTAAGGCTGGGTGTGGTGGCTCACGCCTGTAATCCCAGAACTTTGGGAGACCAAGGCTGGTGGATCACTTGAGGTCGGGAGTTCAAGACCAGCCTGGCCAACATGGCAAAACCCCGTCTCTGCTAAAAATACAAAAATTAGCCAGGCATGGTGGCACGTACCTGTAATCTCAGCTACTCAAGAGGCTGAGGCAGGAGAATTGCTTGAACCTGGGAAGTGGAGGTTGCAGCGAGTTGAGGTTGTGCTACTACACTCTAGCCTGGGCAACAGAGCAAGATTCTGTCTCAAAAAAAAGCATTTTAAGGCCAGGCATGGTGGCTTATGCCTATAATCCCAGCAGTTTGGGAGACTGAGGCAGGCGGATCCCTTGAGCCCAGGAGTTCGAAATCAGCCTGCCCAACATGGGGAAAACCCCATCTCCACTAAAAATACAATTAGCCGGGCGGGGTGGCATGCAGGCCTGTAATCCCAGCTACTCAGGTGGCTGAGGCATGAAAATTGCTTGAACCCAGGAGGCGGAGGTTGCAGTGGGCCGAGATTGTGCCACTGTACTCCAGCCTTGGCGACAAAGTGAGACTCTGTCTCAAAAAAAAAAAAAAAAGCATTAAAAAAATTTCCCCTTTCAGACTGGGCATAGTGGCTCACGCCTGTAATCCCAGAACTTTGGGAGGCTGAGGCAGGTATATCACGAGTTCAGGAGATTGAGACCATCCTGGCTATCACGGTGAAACCCCATCTCTACTAAAAATACAAAAAACTAGCTAGGCGTGGTGGCATGCTCCTGTTGTCCCAGCTACTTGGGAGGCTGAGGCAGGAGAATTGCTTGAACCCAGGAGGTAGAGGGTGCAGTGAGCCGTGATCATGCCTCTGCACGCTAGCCTGGGCGACAGAACGAGACTGTGTCTCAACAAACAAACAATTTCCCCTTTCAGATTTCGTACCCTCTTCCTTGTTGATTTCCCAATGGGAGCAGTCCCCCTGTGAGAAGCATTGCTACTAACCAGATAGACTGTTCTGAGATGATAGAGAATTTTTTGTGTATCTTTACAAGCCAAGAAGAATTCACAGTTTTTTGGTTTATAATCTGAATAATGAAAATAAGCGGTGTTTTATGAATATAAAACTATATTATATGTGTGTTTTTTTTTTTTTTTTTGAGAGAGAGTCTTACTCTTTCGCTTAGGCTGGAGTGCAGTGGTGTGATCTCGGCTCACTGCAACCTCCCCCCTACCCAGGTTCAAGCGATTCTCCTGCCTCAGCCTCCTGAGTAGCTGGGACTACAGGTGCCTGCCACAACGCCTGGCTAATTTTTCTATTTTTAGTAGAGACGGGGTTTCACCATATTGGCCAGGCTGGTTTCGATCTCCTGACCTTGTGGTCCTCCCACGTCAGTCTCCCAAAGTGCTGGGATTACAGGCGTGAGCCACCGCACCTGGCCAAATGTGTTTTTAAAAACTATACCTGTATCTCTGCTCTGTGGCCCATGAGTCTTCTTTTAGAGCCACTGATAATTTTAGCAGTGCATGGTGTTCCCATGATTTCTGATGATCCTGTTACCCCCTTCTTACTCTCTCACAGGCATTGTTAATAGCACCATTTATCTTTTTCTGAGGATCTATGGTCTTCCCCAGACTGTAATGTTTTTTAGTCCTTTATGGTCATCTCTGCTGTTAGGCCTTCACTGTCATTTAGTGCTGCTGTCTGAGTACTTTTTTGGTAGGCACATTTCGTTTGTTATGCATCAGTTTTGATATTTGGGTATTTTATATCCCAAACTAATTGAACACTTCTTATTTTTAGGTCCTAACATTTGGCTAGAGTATGGCCAGTACTCAGTTGGTGGGATTGGTCAGAAAGGTGGCCTTGAGAAAGTTCGCTCCGTGTTTGAAAGGGCTCTCTCGTCTGTTGGTTTACATATGACCAAAGGACTCGCCCTCTGGGAGGCTTACCGAGAGTTTGAAAGTGCGATTGTGGAAGCTGCTCGGGTGAGTACCTGTGGTTGTCTCTGAACGGGTTGGGGCTGTCTTTGTAAGTCTCCTTGGAAGGATTATTTTGAAACACATGTCCATGATGAATCTTGCAGTTCATATAGTTAACAAAATGGTCTTTGCCAATCCCTTAGTGGTGGGGTGATAGATAACCTTTTTTTATACCCCTTCTAGCATTTGGTACAATATGTATGGAAGAGGTCGTATAAATTTTTTTAGCTTGAACTGAAAATTTGTTGAGATATTTTTTGAAGTAGAAAGAACCAGAGTTGGCCAAGTGCGGTGGCTCATGCTTGTAATTCCAGCAGTTTGGGAGGCTGAGGCCAGAGGATCACTTGAGTTCAGGAGTACAAGACCAGCCTGGGCAATGTAGTGAGTCCCCATCTCTACAAGAACTAAAACATTAGCTGGGCATGATGGCGTATGCCTGTGGTCCTAGCTACTCAGGACTCTGAGGTGGGAGGATTGCATGAGCCTGGAGTGTGAGGCTGTAGTGAGTTGTGATCACACCACCACACTCCAGCCAGGGTGACAGCAAGAACCCTTCTCAAAAGAAAAAGAAAGAACCACAGTTTGTCATTTACTACTAATTTGCTTCTTTAGCCCGTAGCTGGCTTCCTTTCCCCTTTTGACCGGGAACAAACCTTTGATTCACAGCTTGAGAAAGTCCACAGTCTTTTCCGGCGACAGTTGGCGATCCCACTCTATGGTAAGAGAAACTGACATGTCAACAGCCAGCCCTCTATGGTTTTTAAAATGCTTTGGGGAACAACATGTAGTTAGACCTTTCCCACCATCCTGTGAGGCAGGTAAAGCTGGTGTTCTTACTCTCCTTGGATATTGTCTCTTTGGATGAGGTCCTTGGTAAAAACATCTTGAATGTTAGTGCTTAAGAGGGTTGTGAGGGTCAGAGGCAGGACTGGAAGCCAGACTCCCTGACTCCCAGGTGAGAGCTCTTTTCTCCTTTGAGACCTAGTTGGAAGGGCAGAGATAGGGTCTCTGAAAGGAATAGTGAATGACACCTGTATTTTTTGGGGAAACTTCATTGAACAAGAGTTCCATTATAATCATTTTCTCTTCACAAGTAACCTCTTCCATAACAGCAGGAATTTTACATGAGTTTAGATCATTCCTCTATGGGAGGGATTTGGTTCAGAAGTGCAGTTGATTGGAAGTACTCATAAGTGAGTTTCTTGGGGTTTGGTAAAGAGTTTCCTTATTTGGTAAATACATTTTGGCAATCTAAGCCTTTGAGTCTTTGGAGCTATGAGTGTGTGCGTGCTGGGAGGATTTTTCTGAGTATGGGAAGAGTTTGTCATGGCTGTTGTGTTTGTTCCCTAGACACGGGCATGTGTTGTACATACTCAGAACCTCTGGGCAACTTTACTGGAGCCCACATGTTATTTCTCTTCATGGTTTATTGGATTTAACAAGTTATAAAGTAGTCGTCTAATCAAATGGTTGGGTATCATGCAGAAAACACTAGAGCTGAGCCGGCTTGCAGATTTCACCTACCAGCGTGAAACAACCTAGCATAATGATTAGAGTGCGAACTTGAGCCAGACTGCTTGGGTTCACAGCCTTGCTCTACCATTAACTGTAGACGAGCAACTGAACCCTCTGCTTCAGTTTCCTCAACTGCAAAATGAGGATCACAATAGACTACCTTGTAGAGTGGGATGACTGAATGAGTTAGTGGATGTGAAGTGGTAGAACATAGGTAACACTGGGTAAGTGTTGTTAAATCGTTGCCACTAGTGTCATTGACTGATTAATTAGCTGGGAGGGTTGCCTGGGACATTGTTTTAAGACAGATTCTACAGACAGGTTTGGGCTCAGCAGAAATCAGAATTTGATCAGTAAGAGCTGCCATGCCACAGATGTGGGAGGGGCTAGTGGCACCTGAGTCTCATGGCTTAATCTGTGTTTGGGTTGATAAAGCCCAATGGCAAGACCCACGGGGCTGAATCCATCTTTCAATAGATATGGAGGCCACATTTGCAGAGTATGAAGAATGGTCAGAAGACCCAATACCAGAGTCAGTAATTCAGAACTATAACAAAGCACTACAGCAGCTGGAGAAATATAAACCCTATGAAGAAGCACTGGTAAGTGTTGGCTTCTTTTATAGTAAACGTCTCTCTACAAACCTTTCCCTGATGGATAGTTGCGAGTTAAACAGTATCTTTAAAATGTTTTATTCTGAAATATATAGAGTGTATAAATGTATACGTACAGTTTACATACTAATAATAAAGTGAACATCCATGTACCTACCACCCAGGTTAAGAAATAGAACATTGCCAGTACCTTAGAAGTCTCCTATGTGCCCCTCTCCGATTGCCTCCTCCTCCCTCTCCCGAGAGGTAATCACTTTCCTGACTTTTGTGATGATAATTCCCTTGCTTTTCTTTATAGTTTTACAAGCTATGAAAGTATCCTTAATTAATATATTGTTTAATTTTGCTTGCTTTTGAACTTTTATATATTGGAATCATGCTGTATATTTTATTTTCATTGAACATGCTTTTGGGTTTTACTCATGTTGCTAAGTATAACTCCGGTGCATTTGTTTTCACTGCTGTAAAGTTGTCTGTGTACTGCGATGTATTTATCCATGTTGCTGGATAGTTGGGTCATTTCCAGGTTTTTGCTAGGAGAAGGAGCAGCGCCACTCTGAACATTCTTGTGTGTATCTCCTTGTACACATGAAAAAGAGTTTCTCTAGAATACGTACTTAGGAATGACTTTGCTGGATCATAGGGTGATGTTAAAGTGTTTTCCAGGTTATCAGTTTGCACTGCTGTGAGCAGTATCTGAGAGTTCTCGTTGCTTGTGCCAATCTTGGATATTGGTCATACTTAAATTTTACTTAATTTGATGAATTTGAAATTGTAGTTTTAATTTGTATTTTCTTGGTTACTAATGAAGTTGAGCATCTTTTCACGTGGATTGGCCATTCAAATTTTTGTGCGTGTTAAAGTGTTCAGGCTGGGCACAGTGGCTTATGCCTATAATCCCAGCACTTTGGGAGGCCAAGGCGGGAGGATTGCTGGAGCCCAGGAGTTTGAGATCAGCCTGGCAGCGTAGCACAACCCTGTCTCTACCAAAAAAAAAAAAAAAAAAAAAAAAAAAAAGCCGGGCTTGGTGGCATGTGTCTGTAGTCCCAGCTTCTCCAGAGGCGAAGGTAGGAGGATTGTTTGAGCCCAGGAGGTCAAGGCTGCAGTGAGCTGTAATCATGCCACTGCATTGTCACCTAAGTGACAAAGCAAAACCCTATTTCTTAAAAAAAAGTCTGGGCCGGGCGGGGTGGCTCATGCCTGTAATCCCAGCACTTTCGGAGCCCAAGGCAGGTGAATCATGAGGTCAGGAGTTTGAGACCAGCCTGGCCAACATAGTGAAACCCCGTCTCTACTAAAAATACAAAAAATTAGCTGGGCATGGTGGCGGGCGCCTGTAATCCCAGCTGTTTGGGAGGCTGAGGCAGGGGAATCGCTTGAAGCCGGGAGGTGGAGGTTGCTGTGAGCCGAGATCGCACCACTGCACTCCATCCAGCCTGGGCAACAGTGTGAGACTCCGTCTCAAAAAAAAAAGTCTTTGACCCATTTCCCTTTTGATGTATCTTTTTTCTAATTGATTTGTGGGAGTGCTTTGTCTTAAGTCTTATTTTAGGCTGTATGTGTTGCAGATTTTCTCCCCAGTTGTTTGTCTTTTCACTTCTTTTTTTTTGAGACTGGAGTTTCGCTTTCACCCAGGCTGGAGTGAAGTGGCGTGATCTCGGCTCACTGCAACTTCCGCCCCGCCAGGTTCAAGCGATTCTCCTGCCTCAGCCTCCCAATTAGCTGGGATTATAGGCCCTTGTCACCAAGCCCCGCTAATTTTTGTATTTTTAGTAGAGACGGGGTTTCGCCATGTTGGCCAGGCTGGTCTCATACTCCTGACCTCAGGTGATTCACCTGCCTCAGCCTCCCAAAGGGCTGGGATTACAGGCGTGAGTCACTGCAACTGCCTTTTCACTTTTTTATTTTTTAACAGTGTCTTTTGATGAACAGTTCTTAGTGATCAATTAGATTAAAATTCTTTCCCTTTTGGTTGTGCTTTTGTTGTGCTTATTTAAAAAATATTCCCTACTTAGCTCTAATTTCTTCTAAAAGTTTTATAGTTTTCTGTTTCATATTTAGGCCCTCATCCACCTGGGATTGATTTTTGAGTGGTATGAGACTGCGTCTGGTTTCATTTTTCCATATGGAGAACCAGTTGTTCTAGTACTGAGTTTGATCATTCCTTCTTCCCCTCACTGATGTGCAGTGCCACATCTGTCATAGATTAGCTGTCCATTTATGTGTGGGTCTTTCTTCTGGATTTTCTGTTCTGTCCCACTGGTTTATGTTACACTGTTGTAATGATGAGAGTTATAATGTTTTGCTCTTGGATAGGGTGAGTCCCATCCACCTTTTTCCTCTTCAAGAGGATCTTGGCTTTTTTTTTTTTTTTGCCTTCAATGCTTCCATCGGATTTAGAATCAGCTTTTCTAGTTATATTTTTAAAATCTTTTTTTTTTTAATTGGAATTGCATTGAACCTGGAGATCAATTTGGGGAATAATTTACATCTTCCAATCTATGAACATATATAGGTTTCTGCTACTTATATCTTGTCTTTCTGTAAAGCTTTATAATAATATTATAAATTTGTCCAGTGTCTTCAACACTTGACCTTTAGAGTCCCCTGCAAGGGAGATTTGCTGGTAACAGATTTTCTGTGTTCAAAAAGGTCTTTGCTTCCCTTCTTGAAAATTATTTTCTTAGGCTATAGAATTCTAGACCGACAACAGCAAAAGAATTCTAGACGGACAATGTGTCCTCTCAGCAATTGATTGTATCTTTCTGTCTTCTGATGTCTGTTGTTGCTGTTGAGAAGTCAGCGGTTTGTATAAATCTTGCTTCTTCAGAGGTAGTCACTTTTTTGTCTGACTGCTTTTAAGATCTCATTGATTTGGTTTGCTGTCCTCTAATTTCACTGCAGTAGGTCCATGTGTGGACTGGCTTGAAGTTTTTTGGGCTTCTTGACTCTTTTTTTCTATCTTTCTTTGCCAACAATAGGATTGTGAAGGTCAGATTCTTAATATACGTCAAGCCAGCAAAAGGTTAATGTTTACTTAGCTTGCCACCCTCATTTAGATTTTGTCCTTAGTCCTTAGTATTTCTTGTTTCTTTGCCAGTTTGTTGATGACTTTTAAGAAGATATTATATTTAATTTAGCAGTTTTAGTTGTTTTGAATGGTACAGTGTGTCTGGGTAACTAATTCTTCCTCGTTACTGGAAATGGAGGCCCTGAAACATCCCCTTTCTACATATGGAGTCTGTGTGTTCTCTTACTCTCCTGCACTGCTTCATCCTTTCTTTTTCATGTGTAAATGATTTGCATGTACCTGTGCTTCCCAAAACTTCGATCATTCAATTATGTCATGGCCATCAGCAAAATGTGCCTGAAGAGAAAACATGTCGAATAAGATTTTTTTCTAAAAAGAATTTGATTGTATGTCTTTGGATCATTAAACATTCAGCACAGCTGCCTTCATCTTCTGCATTTATCTACATTCTTCCAGGAACTGATATTTGGAATAAGAAACCTGAAATAGCATCAGGCACCAAAATTTTCCAGTTTGGTTGTATTAACTCTACTCAGTAGCCCAAGAACATGACTTCTGGTTTGGAAGGGTGGTTGACAGTGGTCACTGGCAAAGGTGTTGCTCTTTCACTCAGTTCCTGATTGATGGGCTACTTAATTCCCTGTGGTCTAGGAATGGATTTAGAAAAGAGTTTATGGAGCCTTTGTAGCGACTGCCATGAACTGGCACTTTGGACCAGATGAGAAGACTCTTGTTTTGCTCAAGAAGTTGTAGAGGCCATAGTGGAGTGGTTCTGAGAGTGAGGATTTGGCGATTCATAGTTACTGTAGCCAGTTTTGCCAAAATTTATTTTATTTGCAGATGTGTTGTGCTTCCTGCCAGTAACTAAATTCAATACAATTTTCCTGTACTCCAGTTGCAGGCAGAGGCACCAAGGCTGGCAGAATATCAAGCATATATCGATTTTGAGATGAAAATTGGCGATCCTGCTCGCATTCAGTTGATCTTTGAGCGCGCCCTGGTCGAGAACTGCCTTGTCCCAGACTTATGGATCCGTTACAGTCAGTACCTAGTAAGATCACTGTTCTAATTTCATTTTATTTTTGCCAATTTAGAATCTACTTAAAATCAGTAAGAGTGCCAGGAGTTTGTTGCATACGGCCCTACTCTTGCTTTTCCTCCATCTGCTTTTTCTCCTCTTTGCCAACTCGTTTAGAAAGTTTTAGTGTTTCAAGTTATTTAAAAATGGTCACTAACTGTAAGTAAAATGAGCATATTGTCTGTGTTGAGGACTTATAACAACTTGATATTTTTCTTTTAACTTTTTATTATGGCAAAAATGTAAACATATAAAAGTAGACAGATCAGTAAAATGAAACTTCTGTACCCCTCACCCAGCTTCAACAATTAGTAACATTTATAGCTTTAGTTTACTTTGATCTGTAGTCTCACCTACTTGTCCCTTCTGTGTTACTTTGAAGCAAATCCAGAAATGATATTTCGTTGGTAAATATTTCAGTATGTGTATATAAAATATTTCAGTGTGTCTGTATAAAAGGATCCAAATGAGGTCTATCCAGTAGGGTTGGCTGACGTCTTTTAAGGCTGTTTTAACCTGTAAGTTGCTCCTCTCCTTCTCCTCCACTCCCCTTAGTGATTTTTTTGTTGTTGTTGAGGAAACCAGGTCACAAGAGATGTTTATAAGGACATTTCTTTCATCACTTGGTCGTGCTGGCAATGTCTTGTTGATGGTGAATGCTTAATAAAGTGTAATTTCCTAACTCTGGAATTCTTTATCATAGGATCGACAACTGAAAGTAAAGGATTTGGTTTTATCTGTACATAACCGCGCTATTAGAAACTGCCCCTGGACAGTTGCCTTATGGAGTCGGTACCTCTTGGCCATGGAGAGACATGGAGTTGATCATCAAGTAATTTCTGGTGCGGATGTTTTTGTGGGAGAACTTCTAAGCTATTTGTCCCAAGTGAAAAACAGAGAGCGGTGACAAAGTCATTACATCAGTGTTCCCTGGGGTTTTCTTTGGGTTATGGAGTGTAGTGACAAAAAGGGCTCTGAGTGAGAGATGAACTGGTTATATTTGTGGCTTCTTAGAGCTTTTTAACATGCTAATATTCATTGTATTTTCTAAGAAGTTGTAGTGTTTTCTCCAAACTTCCTTGATCTGGAACTTTTCTTGCAGGGCGTCTTGTGGAAGAAGTTTTTTCTAGAACACAGTCTGTAGAGTGCTGTAGCAACTTCTGTCTTCAACATTCCTGTCTAGCTCATTTCATTCTGTTGCATCTATTAGTCTTTAAAGTCATGTAGTGTTTTATAGTCAGTAGAATGTAGTGACTTTCTATTAGTTTCCATTTGAATTGGTAACAAATCCTGACTTTTCTCCAACTCCAGTAACCTTCGAGAAAGCTTTGAATGCCGGCTTCATCCAGGCCACTGATTATGTGGAGATTTGGCAGGCATACCTTGATTACCTGAGGAGAAGGGTTGATTTCAAACAAGGTATTTAAGCACATGTTTTTCACTTTAGAGCTGAACATGTTCTTAATACAACTTTTGGCGAGATGTCCCAGTTCCCCAGATACATTGTGATTGGGCAAATGATGTAGACTAGGTATTGGTGACTTTTTCCCCCAGAAATCTTAGCAATTTCTGTCTTTAACAAGTCATGATGTGGATTGTAAAGCAAGAGAGTAATCGTTTATACTGGCTCCTGCCAGCCTTTTTAGTCTTAGCTCTCATTTCTCCTTTCAGGTCTTTTTATTTATCCTAAATACTTCTTGAAATAAGTCTGCTGTGTTTTAGAAAAATCTTTGTACCTCTGTGGGATCCTTTGCCCCTTCATGTCCCCCCGAAAACAACCAGAAAACCCCTAACTTGTACTTGCACACTCATGTCAGCTGTCACCTCATACAGGTAGCCTTTAGCCATTCTCTTGTTTGCCTGTGTCACCCCAGCTGGGGGAGACTCCCCCCCACAGCACCCTGTGTTTGCCTTTTTCACCACGCTGTCCATGCTCTATTCTGTTCAAATTTCTTTCTCCCCAACTATGTGATGAGGGCAGGAATTGGCAATTTTATTTCTGTGTCCCTTGCATGATGCCAGGTACATAGTGGGTCTCCAGGCAGTTTCAGCATAGGATAAAAAATAAAACAAAGCCAGGCTATGTGGTTTCCTAAAGCCTTTTTTTGCACTTTCCGTTAGACTCCAGTAAAGAGCTGGAGGAGTTGAGGGCCGCCTTTACTCGTGCCTTGGAGTATCTGAAGCAGGAGGTGGAAGAGCGTAAGTATGCCCCAGCCTGTGGTTTTGCCCAGTTGTATTTCCTTGTCTGTACTATTTCCTGGTTGATGTACCTTTTCAGCCAGCGACTATCTGTCTCCAAGTTCCTTTCTAATTTTACTAATTCTGTTTTTGAAGGTTTCAATGAGAGTGGTGATCCAAGCTGCGTGATTATGCAGAACTGGGCTAGGATTGAGGTAAATGTTTTTGACACATCTAGCACTTTCATCCATCATTGTTTAATAGCATCCTATTAAACTTTAATTAAAATTGAGTCAGAATCCCAGATAATGGCCTAAGCTCTATAAGGATTTATGTTATTACCTAGGTAATGGTCTAGGCTCCACAAGGATTCATGTTATTTACCTAGCTTGACATATATTTGTAAATATGTTGGTGAAAATATTAGCTCCCAGCTAGAAGTTGTGCAGTAAATGTTTAGATGCTAGGTATTCACTCGTTTACTTCTGTCTCTGCCTCTTTGCTTCATTTGTGAGAGCACAGTGAGCGTGTACTGTTTGTCAGCACTGTACTAGGTGCTGTGGGAATAAGACAGATAAAATTCCTTTGCTAGTAAGGCTTCTATCTAATGTAGAAGACAGATGATTTGACAAGTAATTAGAGGATATGATGACTTGAATGTCATTACTGGGTCAGGGACACCAAGGTCAGTAAGACACGGAACCTCCCTTGATCAGCAGGTAGGATTGTAACAATTCTAATCATGTTTTCTCCTCGGAGGGAGCGTCAGATAGAAGAAACTAACATTTGTCAGGTAGTTTTTATATGGGATGCTTATCTTTTAACCATTTTAAAGATGAGAAAACTGAGAATTACAGGTTAAGTAATTTGCCCAAGTCACAGTTTGTAAGTATTAGTAGCAGAGTGTGCATTTAATACTAGATCAGTCTTTTTTTTTTTTTTAACATTGTCTCTCAAACACTTGTAGTTAAGCTTGATAAAAATAAAAAACGTGACTATCTAGTACTGTCGAGTAAGTACCGTGCGCTCCCTCTCTCGGTTCTCAGGAAACATAGGTAGATTAGCTTGTGGCTGCAGAAAGGCTCAAGTGTTTGGGCTGGGTCGTTTACCACTGGAGGGAGGCCTGGGGAATGCCCAGGGACATCTGTAACACTAATAGTTGTGGGGTGCTTTTTATGTGTGTCTGTTGGAAGTGTGTTGTATGATGGGTGTCGACGTCATAAGGTTCAGGTCTCCTAACAGCCTGCTGATGCACTTTAGGCTCGACTGTGCAATAACATGCAGAAAGCTCGGGAACTCTGGGATAGCATCATGACCAGAGGAAATGCCAAGTACGCCAACATGTGGCTAGAGTATTACAACCTGGAAAGGTAACTGATCTCGGGGTGGGGAGGGAGGCAGTGCTTGTCAGCTGTGCACCTGTCTTCACTCCTGGCTGACTCCTACCAGCTTGGACTAGCTCCTTAGAACTGGGCTGTTTTCTTTCATTCTGTCTCTTTCAGTAGTGGGTACATTTTTAATGGGCAGGGCTAGAGAACCAGACATGATATTTTGTGCCTGGAACTCTTATAGCCATGCATTTCTTTTAATTTGTTTTTGTCTTGATTTTTGGGCATGATATTTTATTTGACCTTTTGGAGCTATTTGTTTTTTATATTTGCTTTTATAGAAAAGTAGAAAATACTAAAAAGCTAAGAGAAAAAAAACTCAAATTACTGACCCAGTCATAACCATGACCCATTCTTTGAGACTTTTCTATGTTTAAATTTTTTTGTAATGAAAATGCAATTATAGCATGCATGTGTTACAAGCCTTTAAAACTATTTGAACGAAATAAGATAGGCCTAACAATATTTATAACATGGGGAAAACATAAAGAATGTGACCAACTTTTCAGTCTGTCTTGAACGTTGTTCATTGCATAACATTGCTACATTGCTGGGTTTTCTTTTTTGAAGATTTTTTCCCTATTTAAAAAACACTGTGTGCCCAAATTAGAATATTTACAAAAATATGTGATAGAAAGCGACAGTTTCTTTTCTTTTTTCGGGGGAGGTGGGGAGTCTCACTCTGTTGCCCAGGCTGAAGTGCAGTGGTGCAGTCTCAGCTGCAACCTTGCCTCCTGGGTTCGAGCAATTCTTCTGCCTCAGCCTCTTGAGTAGCTGGGATTACAGGCGTGCACCACCACACCTGGCTAATTTTTGGATTTTTTTTTTTTTTTAGAAGAGGCACAGTTTCACCATGTAGGTCATGCTGACCTCAAGTGATCCTCCTACCTCGGCCTCCCAAAGTGTAGGAATTACAGGCATGAGCCACCATATCCGGCTAAACGTGACAGTTTCTTACAATCCCACCCCAGAGATAACCACTGTTAAAGCTTGTTGAATATCCCCCTAGATCTGCAGTTCACAATTTTTTTGGTCTCAGGATCCATTTTCCACTCTTAAAATTGGAGGATCCCAAAAAACTTTTATGTATGTGAGTTATATCTATTGATATTTATAATTTATAAATTGAGAAATCTAAAAAACATTTTAATTTATTTAAATATAACAAATTATCTAACATTAATATCTTTTTTGAGCAGTGACTGTTTTCCAGACCCCAAAATAATATAGTGAGAAAAGTGGCAGTGTTTTCTATTTTTGCAAATATATTTATTTGCACATTATTCTGACCTAGGAGAAGACAGCTAAATTCTCATGTCTGTTACTGATTCTGTCTGTTGTGATCTGTTGTTTTCATTGAAGAGGTTAGGAAAGAAAGGTATTTTAGAAGCATTTTCAGATAATTGTGGGTATTCTTCTTTCATACATATTATAGCAAAACTTCAGTGTTGCATGTGGAATCTGAAACCATATTGACAGAGTCTGTTACAGTAATACCCATTTGTCTATTTTATCTTTTACTTGATGCCACAATTCTACGACATTATTTGGAAAAATCCCAATTCACTAAATCATGCAGCTCTTCCAATGTTGACATATTTCATCCTATAGTATTAAAAAATCGTATTTGTTCATATCTGTATTGATCTTAGTTGAAAAGTATTTTAAGTAGGAAGCTGTCAGACTTGTGGTGGCAGATACAAGTTTTCCAAAATTCTAATTTTCACTTGAAAGCTTGAATTCTATCACATGCAACAAATAATGTCAGTGGTTTTCCCCAGAGTGGCAGCCTCACTTTGTTAATTTTCAAAAATGTCTGCCAAATACCCAGGTCTGAGTAACTGACCGTGGTTTGTCACTCAAGTTTCCTTTCAAGTAAAAATGGTGTCCTTGAAAAAAATGACTTGATTAGCTTGCAACTCAAACAGTAATATGCTTTTTTTTTTTTTTTTGGCAATAACCATTGTACTTCAGTATGCAGAAGGGCTTTAAGTGTACTTAGTATTTCATCACACAGTGCATTAAAAAGATTTCTACTGCCTTGATTTGTGCTAAGGGCCACCATTACTTGTGCACTGTCTTGAAGATGTCAACACAGTGAAAAAGTCCAGTAATGTCTTGGTATTATTATAAAAGGAGTTTTGACTTTGCAGGGCCCCTGAGAGGCTCTGGGAGATCCTCAGGGGTACGTGGATCTTACTTTGAGAACCAGTGCTCTGAATTTATTCTGAGCATCATAATATGTATATATAATTATGTATATTTAAAATGTTTTAAAAACAAATATGAATACACTGTTGCATAACAGTTATGATTAGCAGAATTGTGTAGCTGTTGTGATTAGCAGTGTACAAAAAGGATCTGTTTGCGACCAGCCTTGCCAACCTGGTGAAAACCTGTCTCTATTAGAAATACAAAAATTAGCTGGGTGTAGTGGTGGGCACCTGTAATCCCAGCTACTCAGGAGGCTGAAGCAGGAGAATTGCCTGAACCTGGGAGACAGAGGTTGGAGTGAGCCGAGATCGTGCTATTGCACTCCCACCTGGGTGACAAGAGCGAGACTCCCTTTCAAAAAAAAAAAAAAGATCTGACTCTGGGTATGAAATTTGACACTACCCTGGATTCATAACTCTCCTGTCAGTAGGACGCCATAGTAAAATTTCCCTGGGGACTGTATCAGGTTACAGAGAGCTGTTGGACTCCCCCGCCATGTGCCGCACATGTGAATGCTGTAAAGGCAGAATGCTGGTTGCAGATCACAATATCAGGTACACTTTCCAGTAGCCCCTACATGGCTGAGGGAGAGAGTGCTTCAGGGAAATACTTCGTAGGTGACTGTAGAGACTCTGGAAGGAGAAAGCATCATGGATAGATCTGAAAGCTAAGGTCTTCTCAGAAGCTAGAGTTACTGAAGAGTGAGTTTCTACCTGGGAGAAGACGGCCTCTCCCTTCGAGTGCCTTCCACTTTGTGTCCTGGTGGCAGCAACTTTTTGTTTTCTGCCTTAGAGCTCATGGTGACACCCAGCACTGCCGGAAGGCTCTGCACCGGGCCGTCCAGTGCACCAGTGACTACCCAGAGCACGTCTGCGAAGTGTTACTCACCATGGAGAGGACAGAAGGTGGGACCCCCAGCTCTCTTCTGGCTTGGAGCCTAACCCATTTGCTGTTTGGTCTCAAGTAGGAGCATCTGGTTACAGTCTGGGGACAGACTGTGTTTATGCTGCCACCTTAGGTGGTGCCCTATGATTAGACTGTCACAAGTGTCCTGAAAATGAGTCCTCCTGCAGCTCTTCTCAAATTCTGCAGCTACAAGGAGGACTCTGTGATGTCACTGTAGCACAGGGTTCTAATTCTCTGTGGGGGGGACTGTGCGTTATACAATGTTTAGGGGCATCCCTGGCTTCTAGCCCTGAAATGCCAGTAGCAGCTTCACCACCACAACCAAACATGACAACCAGAAATGTCTCTTAACATTGCCAAATGTCTCTTGATGGGCAGGATCCCTCCTTTGAGAGTCACTGTGCTCTAGTACAACATCTATCCAACAAAGGAGCTTGGAGAGGCAAATGGCTCAATGTGTCCTTTGCATCCCTTGTTAAATTTCAGAGCCTTCAGTGTTAGCTAGAACCAATAGAAAAATAATGTGAACTTATCTGTGGGTATTGGTCTGGATTTTGGGTATGGACCCCTCAGAACTGGCTTGCAAAGACCACCAAAAAATAAGAAATAAATGCCTCAACATTTGAGTAGCTCTTAAAATTCTTCAGTCTTAATATAAATGTACTTTTGCATTAGAACGTTCGTTTTCATATTCTTTGCCATTTAGAGCCCTTAATAGATCATATTCTGGTTTTCAAGTCTCTCCTGAAAGGAGAGGGACATTTTAAACCCACTTAGAAGGACTATTTGAATTCTGAACTTCAAGCCTACAGGGATTACATTTTCTTATTGTTTGATGGGAGAGATCTCTTCTGGAGGTACAGAGAAATTAAGAAAAATTTATGTGATTGTATCCTTCAAAATCCTAAAGAGTGAAAGTTTTGCTTCTCTTTCTTTCAAGGTTCTTTAGAAGATTGGGATATAGCTGTTCAGAAAACTGAAACCCGATTAGCTCGTGTCAATGAGCAGAGAATGAAGGTAATGACAATGTTTGAAGTCTTTGGCACCTCTGGTAGCTATTTTGGCTCAGTTTGGTATGGATGTTTCTTGTCAAGATGTTTTACATTTTCCTAAGTGTCTTTTACTCAGTATTAATTATAAAATATTTAGATCAATGCTTAAACCTGTCTTGTGTCATTTTTACATTGTTCTAAAACATCAGCCCCAATATTAAGTACTTGTTTCATTTAGTGAGGGAATTTTGGCTCTAAAATTTACGAGAATTGATGAAAAAGAATAAAGAAGAGCCTCACTTAGCCTAGTGAGTGGAACATGAACACCCCAACTTATTTAGGGCTTCAGTTTTATGGATTTTTTTTTTTTTGAGACGGAGTCTCGCTCTGTTGCCCAGGCTGGAGTGCAGTGGCATGATCTCGGCTCACTGCAAGCTCTGCCTCCCGGGTTCACGCCATTCTTCTGCCTCAGCTTCTCGAGTAGCTGGGACTACAGGTGCCCGCTACCACACCTAGCTAATTTTTTGTATTTTTTTAGTAGAGATGGGGTTTCACCATGTTAGCTAGGATGGTCTCGATCTCCTGACCTCGTGATCCACCCATCTCGGCCTCCCAAAGTGCTGGGATTACAGGCGTGAGCCACCGCGCCCGGCCAGTTTTATGGATTTTTTTGCCTTCCTTTTGGTGAGTAATGATTAGGGTGAGGAAATTGCTAATGTAACAGAGACATCAGATCCAGAATTCCAACGAACCTGAATGAGCCCTGGTGTGGAACAGCCGTGAGCCTGTCCACGTTTTTCTCCTGATCTCTGCTTTTCATTAGTAATGAATTTCCACTCCTTCTCCCCTTTCATGACAAATCAGTACAGTGAATGTAATTGCCACATCCAGCGATGCATCATCTTCCCACTTTTCTAGGCTGCAGAGAAGGAAGCAGCCCTTGTGCAGCAAGAAGAAGAAAAGGCTGAACAACGGAAAAGAGCTCGGGCTGAGAAGAAAGCGTTAAAAAAGAAGAAAAAGATCAGAGGCCCAGAGAAGCGCGGAGCAGATGAGGATGATGAGAAAGAGTGGGGCGATGATGAAGAAGGTAAGGAGCTCTTGAGAAATTGTGTTTTGAAACGTCTTAAAGTTAGAGAAGTTGCGAATACAGTATGAAGAACTTTCTTCCCTGAACCGTTACCAGCTTGATACCCATTACCCTTTGATCACTGTTAGGGTGTATGTCTTGCAAACAAGGGGCCCTCTTCTACATGACTAGAATGCAGCCATCAGAGCCGGGGTTAGCAATGAGCTATGGGTTCCCATTTATCCTGATAATGTCCTTTGTAGTGAAAGGATCCGGTTCAGGATGCACTATTGTGTTTAGTTGTCCTGTCTCCTGGATCTCCTTGAGTCTGGAGCACTCCTCAGCTTTTTTTTTTTACTCTGATGACCTGCAGTCTTGTAAGGGGGCAGGCCAGTTGCTGTGTTGTGCCCCTCAGCCTGGGTGTGTCTGATGCTCCCTAAGCATTGGATTCCACTCATGCATCTCGGGCAGGAATAGTGCACAAGTGCTCCTGTGGCCTGCCCATTGAGTCCCATCAGGTGGACTGTGATTCGCTTTGTTCCATCACTGGTGATGACCCTTTTGAGAATTATTTATGCTGATTCTCTACTTATCCCAGGTTTGGCTAGCAAGAGTTCCTTCACACAGGCTTCTATGTCCCTTTGACCTGTCCCCTTGTTCTTTGATCATTTCCTTACCTTCTAGCACACAATACCCAAGGGTCATCTTATACTTTCCATAACTCAGCCCTGGAATCCATCATTTCTCCAAGGTTCCTTTGAGTGATGAGTGGTATTTAGAAGGTGCTAGTTGTGCTCACTGCTGTTGGTTATTGTTCTGAGGCCTGAGTGGTCGAGGGTAGGGAGTGTGTGTGTGTGTGCGTGTGCGTGTGCATGTGTACACATATTTATGACCATATTTACTTGTGTAACTATTTGTATATACTGAAAGTCATGATTTCACACCAATACCTCCAGTTCCGGTCTAACACCACAGGGTTCCCCTTCACACTTGCAATGCCCTTCTCTCTCTTTTTAAAATTTATTTATTCATTTATTTTTGAGACAGAGTCTCGCTTTGTTGCCCAGGCTGGAGTGCAGTGGGGTGATCTTGGCTCACTTCAACCTCCGCTTCCCGGGTTCAAGTGATTCTTGTGCCTCAGCCTCTCAAGTAGCTGGGATTACAGGCATGCACCATCATACCTGGCTAATTTTTTGTATTTTTAGTAGAGATCAGGTTTCGCCATGTTGGCCAGGCTGGTCTTGAACTTGTGGCCTCAAGTGATCTGTCTGCCTCGGCCTCCCAAAGTGCTGGGATTACAGGTGTGAGCCACTGTGCCCAGCTGTGTCACGCCCTTCTCTGACCTTGAGAAACTTGGCTCCCTCTATTCTCAGCATCCTCAGTTACTCCACCCGGCCCCTGTAGGTATGTAATCAACTTCCTGTGCCTGCCTCCCCTTCTCATATGTGCCATCCCCACCCTGTTTGGTCTCCCACACCCGGGGCCAGGCACGGCCCTGCATGGACACCCTTGCTTCTTTCACTCAGGCTTCCAGATCTAGGCTGCTGGGTCCCTGTCACTGCCCCATGCCTGCCTGTCTTCTTCCTTCCATTCAGGCTCTAGCATCCCGCACCACTGCTGCAGCCCCAACCCTGCACAGACCTGCCAGGCTTGGCCCTACTTTTTTTTTTTTTTTTTTTTGAGAGGGAGTCTCGCTCTGTCGCCCAGGCTGGAGTGCAGTTGCGTGATCTCGGCTCACTGCAACCTCCGCCTCCTGGGTTCAAGTGATTCTCTTCCTTCAGCCTTCCAAGTAGCTGGGATTACACTTTGCCAGCCACCATGCCCAGCTAATTTTTGTATTTTAGTAGAGACGGGGTTTCACCATGTTAGCCAGGCTGGTCTTGAACTCCTGACCTCAAGTGATCCTCCCGCCTTGGCCTCCCAAAGTGCTGTTATTACAGGCATGAGACACTGCACCTGGCCTTGGCCCTGCTTTTAATGGTTCTGACTTAGTGGAATTTTCCAGCAGTGTTTCTTTCACCCTTGTAATTTCAGGGACGGGCAGCTCTGGGTCATATTTATTTCAGAGAGTCAGTCAAGGTAAAGAATTGTCTCTGGTGGCTGGGCGCGGTAGCTCATGCCTGTAATCCCAGCACTCTGGGAGGCTGAGGTGGGCGGATCACCTGAGGTCAGGGGTCAAGATCAACCTGGCCAACATGGTGAAAACCTGCCTCTACTAAAAATACAAAAATTAGTTGGCTGTGGTGGCGGGTGCCTGTTTTCCCAGCTACTCGGGAGGCTGAGACAGGAGAATTACTTGAGCCCGGGAGGCAGAGGTTGCAATGAGTAGAGATCATGCCGTTGCACTCCAGCCTGGGAGAGAGAGCAAGACACTGTCTCAAAAACAAAACAAAACAAAAAAAAGAATTGTCTCTGGACTTGAAAGGACTCTGTATACTTTCTTAATACAGATGTGTGAGCCAGAGAGAACTGGGAATGGAGTCATCCATCGTTGAGTTGACCTTGCTTGCACACCTTGTTTGGGCTTTCCTAAATGACTGAGGATGGCTCATTGCTCCACTGGCCTCCCAGTTTGGCAGAATAAGGCAAATGTGATGTGTGACCGCAGTGGTGTGTGATCAGGGCATGGCGTGTGATCAGGACTGTGGGAGATGGCATTGTTAATACTGGTGGAGGCCAAAGAAGGCACTAGTGGGTCAACTTCGTACCAGGAAGACTGTGGGGGAAGAGATGCGGCATCCAGGGGGAAGACCGAGTGACTGTGGCAGCGAGAAGGGAAGGTCTGAGCTACACAGGGAGGAGCCAATGTTAGTACAGCCTGAAGGCACAGCACAGCCTGGCATTTTCTGTGAGCAGCAGATAATTGGGTTTGAACTCAGATGCATTAGAGAGGGGTGGGGCAGTGGTCGAGGAGGCTGGAGTGGTAGGTGGGCCAGTCAGCTGGACCCAGCCCAGGGACACTCTTGAATACAGTAGCAGTGTGCAGGGCTTACGTTGCATTGGAAAGGCAGCGGGTGAACTGATGGGGAGGTCTGTTTGCCGGAGGCTGATGTCTGTTGAGCTTCAGTACTGGCCCTCTGGAGGCAGTGGTGAGGACAGACTGCAGTAGAAGATTGTGGTTAAGCTCTCTTAAGGACACAAGGCCATATTGAAAGTGTTTTAGAAACCACAGATCCTTTGTAGTGCTTTCCAAAATGTGCTCCCTGGGGCACGGGTATCAGTCACTAGGGTGCTTTTCCAGTGCAGATTCTCATGTCCTATCCCAACCCTGCTGATCTGGGCTTTGTAGGAGAGGGGCCCTGGAATTTGCCTTCTGAACTTTGAGATCCACTGACCTTTTGTATAATTAAGAGTGGACAATGGGGATTTATGTTATTACTTCCACTTGATTGAGCCCACTTACCCGAGTGTAATTGGGGCACAGAAAGTCGTGGGACAGGTCAGGCGGATCACAAAAGACTTCTCGGGGTGGTGCTTGCCCCTCCGAGTCTGGTGAGGGAGTAAGTGTCACATGCAGCTGTCACAGCACTTTCACTTCACACCTCTGTTCAAGCTCCCTGAAGAGAAGTAACAGTTAACCATGGCTACTTTTCTTTTGAAAACCTGTAGAGCAGCCTTCCAAACGCAGAAGGGTCGAGAACAGCATCCCTGCAGCTGGAGAAACACAAAATGTAGAAGTAGCAGCAGGGCCCGCTGGGAAATGTGCTGCCGTAGATGTGGAGCCCCCTTCGAAGCAGAAGGAGAAGGCAGCCTCCCTGAAGAGGGACATGCCCAAGGTGCTGCACGACAGCAGCAAGGACAGCATCACCGTCTTTGTCAGCAACCTGCCCTACAGCATGCAGGAGCCGGACACGAAGCTCAGGCCACTCTTCGAGGCCTGTGGGGAGGTGGTCCAGATCCGACCCATCTTCAGCAACCGTGGGGATTTCCGAGGTTACTGCTACGTGGAGTTTAAAGAAGAGAAATCAGCCCTTCAGGCACTGGAGATGGACCGGAAAAGTGTAGAAGGGAGGCCAATGTTTGTTTCCCCCTGTGTGGATAAGAGCAAAAACCCCGATTTTAAGGTAGGTTTATGGAAAAAAAGAATGCCTTTCATCTGTGGTTGCTTTAGACAGGCACTTTCTTCCTGCAGCAGTGATATTTAGGATAGACATGGAAGTTTTACGCTCTGTTTGGATCTAAACTTCCTTGTGAGCCAAGGTCCATCCTGAGCCGGTTGACTGAGGTCTGACTCATGGCATGGCTCCTTCTTGCTGGGTGCTTAGCAATGACAAGGGACTGTGCTGAATGCTTTATGTGTGTCAGCTCATTGACTCCTCATGAGACTCTGTGAATGGTTACTTTTATTCTTGCCGTTTTACAGAGGAAGACATGGAGGCCTGGAGAGGTTAAGTGACTCGCTCCGGTGGCCCCATTAACAAGTTTCAGAGCATGGCTTGGCTCTAGTCTGCCTGGCTGGGCTGCTCATGGGGACAAGGCTGGTGTCAGAGGAGTCAGGTGAGCTGGGTCATGCCTCGAATCATGGTTTTTCTCTGTCTTCCTTCTTCCTATAGGTGTTCAGGTACAGCACTTCCCTAGAGAAACACAAGCTGTTCATCTCAGGCCTGCCTTTCTCCTGTACTAAAGAGGAACTAGAAGAAATCTGTAAGGCTCATGGCACCGTGAAGGACCTCAGGCTGGTCACCAACCGGGCTGGCAAACCAAAGGTCAGAGTCAGAGCAGATTGTGCCTTGTCTTCAAGGCTTGGGCAAACTTCGTTTCTGTATCGGTTCAAAGATGATTTAACCTCTAGAATGGGTTCCTAGTTTGTCTGCTGAGAAACAAAAGTTAATTTCACAGAAAGATCTGCACTTAGCTCTACTTATATTTGGAGTCAGATTAACCTGTTTGTAGTTAATTGTACTAAAAAGAATAAGACACTTGGAAATAGAGGATCATGAATTCACCACACTATGGCCCCTGGCTGTGGGGCTTGGGGGAAGCCCTGTGACCAGCAGCATACGGGCTTTGGGGTGGGCGCCCTCCTGCAGCCTTCTCCCTCTGTCCCAGGCCTCTCTTTCTCTGGGGCCTCCAACCAGGCCCCTTGAGTCCCTCCATTGCAGTGCCTCTTCTCCTGTCTTTCCTTCTTGCCCCCTCAGTCTCCTGCTAAGTCCTTTTGTGCCCCATTTTGAGTAGTAAGTGGTTTCATTACTGTCTACCCACTGCCCACTCTCCCTCCCCTTTATCCAGGTTAATGGAGAGAAAAAGAGGATGAAATGAGGGAGCGGGTGAAGGCACAGAAACACGAGGGCTCACCTGGGCACCTGGGCTGCTGGCCCTGTGTCCCATCCACCTCTTGGTTTATTTGCTGGATTTATACTGGTCCATCTGTCTTTTTCCTTCTTTCTTTCTACTTCTGCAGCACGTACAAGGTGTGCTGAACTTGGAAGGGTTATCTGAAGTTACAGTGCATAGCAGCACTCGGGAAGGAGAGTAGGGTGGGGAAATAAGCCTGTAGACAGAGGATGCGGTGGTGGGGAAGGTAACCTGTTGGTGGGTCGTTTGCTGTGGCCTGGTCTGCTGGTCTCCGGGAGGAAGCCCAGTGCCTGCCCTGCAGGAGGAGGTTGCGTCCCTAGTCTGCGGGATCTGACTTGGTTCTGGATCTTGCCTCTTCCAGGGCCTGGCCTACGTGGAGTATGAAAATGAATCCCAGGCGTCGCAGGCTGTGATGAAGATGGACGGCATGACTATCAAAGAGAACATCATCAAAGTGGCAATCAGCAACCCTCCTCAGAGGAAAGTTCCAGAGAAGCCGGAGACCAGGAAGGCACCAGGTGGCCCCATGCTTTTGCCGCAGACATACGGAGCGTAAGTGCTTGCATGGTAGACTAGTGCAAACTTCGTCCTGGCTGGCACCAGTTCATGGATCACGGGGGGATTAACCCGGGATGAATTAGCTTCCTGTTAGGACAGAAAAGCCAAGATGTGCTGTTCCTTGTGGTAATCACTGTGGTTCCACTGGAGCAAGGCGTCCAGAGCAGGATGCAAGCCTAGGCAGTGACCTCTGCCTGGTACTGGCCAATTTACACTTGTCATTTATTTCAGACAGAAATAAGGCAGTGATTATTTTAAAGTCCCCTTTGCCAGTTGGATCTGTGTGTTTACAAAGAAATCTCATACCCATGTGTGTGCCAGTCTACGGCCCTAGCTATGATCCACATAAGCTGTGCTGTTCGCTGGTTTGGGATGAGGAGGAGATAGCAGAATTGCCAGGTGACTGGTGAGGTCTGAGAGGTGATAGTCACACTGATCCCCTCTGAGTGTGACTGGTGCTCAGGGTTGATCTTTGCCAAAACTGAACAAGGCCAAGTCTGTTGAAGCAGTTTTTACTTCATAAACAGAATTAAGGAGGCAGGGATTATCTTATCCTTTTTTTTTTTCACCTTTTAACTTCTGGTTATATTAAAACTGTCTTGGCTTATTTTCACAAATAAATGAGGGGCCACGAATTGTTGCTTCAAAAGGTCCATTCAGTGTTTGCTCTTTTAGGAGGGGGAAGGGAAGGACGCAGCTGTCTCTACTGCCTCGTGCCCTGCAGCGCCCAAGTGCTGCAGCTCCTCAGGCTGAGAACGGCCCTGCCGCGGCTCCTGCAGTTGCCGCCCCAGCAGCCACCGAGGCACCCAAGATGTCCAATGCCGATTTTGCCAAGCTGTTTCTGAGAAAGTGAACGGGACGCTGGGAGACAGGAAATGCCTTACTTCACTCTGGCCCGGCGGACCTCCCACCACCCAGCAGTGCACTGGGGATGGACAGGCCTGGTGTGCTGCGTGCTCGCAACCACAGATGGCTCCTCGGCTTTAGACAGAAAGGGGAAGGGGTTCTAAGTCAAGAGCCTTTCAGTGCTCCCTCATATTGAGGGCAGTGGCAGAAAAGTGACCACTCTGCAGGCTGGGCCCAGGATGTGGTGTCCTGAGATAGTTTTGTATCTTAAAGACTGAGGCACAGAAGCGAAACGAGAACACACTGTTTTTGAGACACAGTTGTCCAAATGTTTCTGGCCAGCTCCGGCCCCTTTTTGTATGACACTTCTCTTCCACCCTGCACAGCACATGTGCCCGTCATTCTTTTAATTTTAAAAGATGAAATGGCAGATGCTAGTAATTCACAGAATGGCCTCTTGTGGGGGTGGGTCTGAGGGAAGTCAGCTATAAAACATTTGCTGGAGTTTTGTTCAATGGGGCTGTGCATTTTTATATTATGTGTTTGTAAATGACATGTCAGCCATTGTTTCATGTTTCCTAAAAGCAGAATATTTGCAACATTTGTTTTGTATAGGAATTATTTGTGCCACCTGCTGTGGACTGTTTTCTTTGCCTAGTGACTAGTGACCTGTGTTGTCTAAACATGAGTTTCAGCCCTTTGGTTTTGTTTAATACCATGTCAAATGCAAACTTCAATTCTCCCCATTTAGCTTTATTAAACTGACGTTCTCTTCAAAACTTCTTGCTGAATGGTACTCAGATGTGCATTCACATACAGATGTGTTTTGAAGTGGGTGTACCTTGCTTTACCTAATAGATGTGTAAATAGAACTTTTGTAAGTCAAATCCCATTGTCACTTTGATTTAAATTATTCCAGCTGTGATGTGTCTTCATTTTATAGCAGTTTGACACTGGAGCTTTTGAGCTTTTTTACCTCACATCTTTTATCAAATAATATTTACTGCTTTGAAAACAGCAACAGCATTGGCCAGTTCAGTAGGGGAAGCTTGCTTTATTAAGACACTCTGGAGAAAGACGTCAGGGAATCCTTGTATATGTCGTGGGAATCAACTCCTCATTTATCTGTTGCGTAAGTTTAAGTTTTTGTGCATCAGTCGGGTTTTCTATATTTTTTTAACTTAACATTTTTTAATATAACCGATTAAAAAGTAGACAGAACAGTAAAATAAACTCCTGTGTGCCTACCATTCAGCTTCCAGCATTCCTCAACTCCCAGCCCCTCTTCCTTCATGTCTGTTTCCCCTCCACCCTCTGTTATATTGAGGCACGTTCCAGATGTCATTGTGCTCATCCAGTAATGTTGCGGCAGGTGTCTCAGGAGGACTGAAAGGCCTTCACTCCTAGAAACATTAGTGGTAATCCCTTCATGTCATCAACTGTCCACTCAAATTTCCACCTTCCTACAAATATCAGCTCTCCTCCCTGTAAATTATTGGTTGGTAAGCCTCTTAAGTCTTAAAAGGTAGGTTCCCCTCCATCTCTTTTTTATACAAAACCAACTTTTTACTAGGCTTTACTTCTGAATTAAATTCAAGCGGCGGCTATTGACAGCAGCAAGAACCTTTGCTGTCCCACGCGTTCCTCCTGCAGTGTTCTCTGTGATGCTGCTTGGAAGGCTGATGGACTGTTCAGCTGGTGTGATGATTTGGGTAGCTCAGAGCCCTCATGGTTGGGGACCTGACACATGAAGAGCCCTGAATATCACTATGGGTGAGTGTGGCCTTACTTTTTGCTGCTTCACATTAACGGTTTGGCTTTGCCTGCAGCCAGTATTCTGACCTTAATGTCACACTTGCAGATGTCAGCCCAGGCTTGGTACAGGGGCAAACCTTTTCAGGCTTGAGCAGAACCCAGTTAGGTTCCGGGTGTTGACTGTTCTAGAAATGGATTTCCAGGACTACATGAGTGGGTTTGTGTGTTTTCCCCAGAAAATCCAGAACTGATGATAAATAGAAATGTGAAAAACTACTTCAGTTACTTGACTGTTTGTTAGTAAAAAAAAATCAGTAATTCATCCTTGCCCACCTAGGTAGGCGGTTTATCCAACTTCTGGGTCTCTTGCCCATGGAAATCACCATCTTGGATCTGTTGCTCTCCCAGAACAGTATTATGAATAGGGCTAAAGGTCAGAATACCCCCACTGCCCTTATGACAGATGGGAACATCTCCCAAATAAGACAGTCTCAAGCATTCATGTAATAAAATAACTTTATTAGAATCAGGAATTTGTTAAAATAATATCCTTCACATATAGCTAAAGTGCAAATTCTCTTGCTCTGTAGTAGAAGCAAGCACATCTGTCAGACCTCCGTGGTGTGCTTATAAAACCAAGACGAGAAGAGTTTTAAGAAGTACCTCTGGCAGCATAAGAGTACGAAAACACATTTTATAAAGGTTTGAACAATTATCATTTGGAGCCATTTCATATATCGTGTATGTCTTTTCACTTATTTTTCTTAACCTTTCAAAAACTACTCTGTGCTATTTATACAACTGAAGAACTGTATAAACTACTTTAGAGCAGTGGCCTCATTACTGTCAGGAACGGAATTACCAAATCAAAGAGACAACACTGCGTATTCGCCATCACTCACACACTGACAAAGTGCAGTAGTGTTAGACATCATGGGCTCTGTCACTGGGAAAGGGACCCAGTGACTTCCACC